>NC_000007.14:60551011-60828234 GCF_000001405.40 Homo sapiens | reverse complement strand
TCCGTCTAGCAGTCAATGAAGAAATCCCGTTTCCAACGAAGGCCTCAAACAGGTCCATATATCCAATTGCAGACTTTACAAACAGTGTGTTTCCAAACTCCTCTATGAAAAGAAAGGTTAAACTCTGTGAGTTGAACGCACACATCACAAAGCACTTTCTGAGAATGATTCTGTCTGGTTATTATACGAAGATATTTCCTTTTCTGCAATTGTCCTCAAATCGCTTGAAATCTCCACCTGAAAATGCCACAGCAAGAGTGTTTCAAATCTGCTCTCTCTAAAGCAAGGTTCAACTCTGTGAGTTGAATACACACAACACAAAAAAGTTACTGAGAACTCTTCTTAGTCTAGCATGAAAGGAAGAAACCCCGTTTGCAACGAAGGCCTCAAAGAGGTCCAAATATCCACTTGCAGACATAACAAGCAGAGTGTTTCTAAACTGCTCTAAGAAAAGAAAGGTTAAACTCTGTGAGTTGAAGGCACACATCACAAAGTAGTTTCTGAGAATGATTCTTCCTAGTTTTTATTTGAAGATATTTCCTTTTCTACTGTTGGCATCAAATCGCTTGAAATCTCCACTTGCAAATTCCACAAAAAGAGTGTTTCAAATCTGCTCTGTGCAAAGGGACGTTCCACTCTGTGAGTTAAATACACACAGCACAAAGAAGTTACTGAGAATTCTTCTGTCTAGCATGAAATGGAGAAATCCCGTTTCCAACGAAGGCCTCAATGCGGTCCATATATCCACTTGCAGACTTTACAAACAGAGTGTTTCCAAACTGCTCTATGAAAAGAAAGGTTAAACTATGTGATTTGAACGCACACATCACAAAGAATTTTCTGAGAATGATTCTGTCTGGTTTTTATTTGAAGATATTTCCCTTTCTACTGTTGGCATCAAATGGCTAGAAATCTCCACTTGCAAATTCCGCAAAAAGAGTGTTTCAAATCTGCTCTGTCTAAAGGGACGTTCCACTCTGTGAGTTGAATGCACACAACACAAAGAATTTACTGAGAATTCTTCCGTCTAGCATTCAATGAAGAAATCCCGTTTCCAACGAAGGCCTCAAACAGGTCCATATATCCACTTGCAGACTTTACAAACAGTGTGTTTCCAAACTCCTCTATGAAAAGAAAGGTTAAACTCTGTGAGTGGAACGCACACATCACAAAGCACTTTCTGAGAATGATTCTGTCTGGTTATTATACGAAGATATTTCCTTTTCTGCAATTGTCCTCAAATCGCTTGAAATCTCCACCTGAAAATGCCACAGCAAGAGTGTTTCAAATCTGCTCTCTCTAAAGCAAGGTTCAACTCTGTGAGTTGAATACACACAACACAAAAAAGTTACTGAGAACTCTTCTTAGTCTAGCATGAAAGGAAGAAACCCCGTTTGCAACGAAGGCCTCAAAGAGGTCCAAATATCCACTTGCAGACATAACAAGCAGAGTGTTTCTAAACTGCTCTAAGAAAAGAAAGGTTAAACTCTGTGAGTTGAAGGCACACATCACAAAGTAGTTTCTGAGAATGATTCTGTCTAGTTTTTATTTGAAGATATTTCCTTTTCTACTGTTGGCATCAGATCGCTTGAAATCTCCACTTGCAAATTCCACAAAAAGAGTGTTTCAAATCTGCTCTGTGCAAAGGGACGTTCCACTCTGTGAGTTCAATACACACAGCACAAAGAAGTTACTGAGAATTCTTCTGTCTAGCATGAAATGAAGAAATCCCGTTTCCAACGAAGGCCTCAATGCGGTCCATATATCCACTTGCAGACTTTACAAACAGAGTGTTTCCAAACTGCTCTATGAAAAGAAAGGTTAAACTATGTGAGTTGAACGCACACATCACAAAGAATTTTCTGAGAATGATTCTGTCTGGTTTTTATTTGAAGATATTTCCCTTTCTACTGTTGGCATCAAATGGCTAGAAATCTCCACTTGCAAATTCCGCAAAAAGAGTGTTTCAAATCTGCTCTGTCTAAAGGGACGTTCCACTCTGTGAGTTGAATGCACACAACACAAAGAATTTACTGAGAATTCTTCCGTCTAGCATTCAATGAAGAAATCCCGTTTCCAACGGAGGCCTCAAACAGGTCCATATATCCAATTGCAGACTTTACAAACAGTGTGTTTCCAAACTCCTCTATGAAAAGAAAGGTTAAACTCTGTGAGTTGAACGCACATATCACAAAGCACTTTCTGAGAATGATTCTGTCTGGTTATTATACGAAGATATTTCCTTTTCTGCAATTGTCCTCAAATCGCTTGAAATCTCCACCTGAAAATGCCACAGCAAGAGTGTTTCAAATCTGCTCTCTCTAAAGCAAGGTTCAACTCTGTCAGTTGAATACACACAACACAAAAAAGTTACTGAGAATTCTTCTTAGTCTAGCATGAAAGGAAGAAACCCCGTTTGCAACGAAGGCCTCAAAGAGGTCCAAATATCCACTTGCAGACATAACAAGCAGAGTGTTTCTAAACTGCTCTAAGAAAAGAAAGGTTAAACTCTGTGAGTTGAAGGCACACATCACAAAGTAGTTTCTGAGAATGATTCTGTCTAGTTTTTATTTGAAGATATTTCCTTTTCTACTGTTGGCATCAAATCGCTTGAAATCTCCACTTGCAAACTCCACAAAAAGAGTGTTTCAAATCTGCTCTGTGCAAAGGGACGTTCCACTCTGTGAGTTGAATACACACAGCACAAAGAAGTTACTGAGAATTCTTCTGTCTAGCATGAAATGAAGAAATCCCGTTTCCAACGAAGGCCTCAATGCGGTCCATATATCCACTTGCAGACTTTACAAACAGAGTGTTTCCAAACTGCTCTATGAAAAGAAAGGTTAAACTATGTGAGTTGAACGCACACATCACAAAGAATTTTCTGAGAATGATTCTGTCTGGTTTTTATTTGAAGATATTTCCCTTTCTACTGTTGGCATCAAATGGCTAGAAATCTCCACTTGCAAATTCCGCAAAAAGAGTGTTTCAAATCTGCTCTGTCTAAAGGGACGTTCCACTCTGTGAGTTGAATGCACACAACACAAAGAATTTACTGAGAATTCTTCCGTCTAGCATTCAATGAAGAAATCCCGTTTCCAACGAAGGCCTCAAACAGGTCCATATATCCACTTGCAGACTTTACAAACAGTGTGTTTCCAAACTCCTCTATGAAAAGAAAGGTTAAACTCTGTGAGTGGAACGCACACATCACAAAGCACTTTCTGAGAATGATTCTGTCTGGTTATTATACGAAGATATTTCCTTTTCTGCAATTGTCCTCAAAACGCTTGAAATCTCCACCTGAAAATGCCACAGCAAGAGTGTTTCAAATCTGCTCTCTCTAAAGCAAGGTTCAACTCTGTGAGTTGAATACACACAACACAAAAAAGTTACTGAGAACTCTTCTTAGTCTAGCATGAAAGGAAGAAACCCCGTTTGCAACGAAGGCCTCAAAGAGGTCCAAATATCCACTTGCAGACATAACAAGCAGAGTGTTTCTAAACTGCTCTAAGAAAAGAAAGGTTAAACTCTGTGAGTTGAAGGCACACATCACAAAGTAGTTTCTGAGAATGATTCTGTCTAGTTTTTATTTGAAGATATTTCCTTTTCTACTGTTGGCATCAAATCGCTTGAAATCTCCACTTGCAAACTCCACAAAAAGAGTGTTTCAAATCTGCTCTGTGTAAAGGGACGTTCCACTCTGTGAGTTGAATACACACAGCACAAAGAAGTTACTGAGAATTCTTCTGTCTAGCATGAAATGAAGAAATCCCGTTTCCAACGAAGGCCTCAATGCGGTCCATATATCCACTTGCAGACTTTACAAACAGAGTGTTTCCAAACTGCTCTATGAAAAGAAAGGTTAAACTATGTGAGTTGAACGCACACATCACAAAGAATTTTCTGAGAATGATTCTGTCTGGTTTTTATTTGAAGATATTTCCCTTTCTACTGTTGGCATCAAATGGCTAGAAATCTCCACTTGCAAATTCCGCAAAAAGAGTGTTTCAAATCTGCTCTGTCTAAAGGGACGTTCCACTCTGTGAGTTGAATGCACACAACACAAAGAATTTACTGAGAATTCTTCCGTCTAGCATTCAATGAAGAAATCCCGTTTCCAAAGAAGGCCTCAAACAGGTCCATATATCCACTTGCAGACTTTACAAACAGTGTGTTTCCAAACTCCTCTATGGAAAGAAAGGTTAAACTCTGTGAGTTGAACGCACACATCACAAAGCACTTTCTGAGAATGATTCTCTCTGGTTATTATACGAAGATATTTCCTTTTCTGCAATTGTCCTCAAATCGCTTGAAATCTCCACCTGAAAATGCCACAGCAAGAGTGTTTCAAATCTGCTCTCTCTAAAGCAAGGTTCAACTCTGTGAGTTGAATACACACAACACAAAAAAGTTACTGAGAACTCTTCTTAGTCTAGCATTAAAGGAAGAAACCCCGTTTGCAACGAAGGCCTCAAAGAGGTCCAAATATCCACTTGCAGACATAACAAGCAGAGTGTTTCTAAACTGCTCTAAGAAAAGAAAGGTTAAACTCTGTGAGTTGAAGGCACACATCACAAAGTAGTTTCTGAGAATGATTCTCTCTAGTTTTTATTTGAAGATATTTCCTTTTCTACTGTTGGCATCAAATCGCTTGAAATCTCCACTTGCAAACTCCACAAAAAGAGTGTTTCAAATCTGCTCTGTGCAAAGGGACGTTCCACTCTGTGAGTTGAATACACGCAGCACAAAGAAGTTACTGAGAATTCTTCTGTCTAGCATGAAATGAAGAAATCCCGTTTCCAACGAAGGCCTCAATGCGGTCCATAGATCCACTTGCAGACTTTACAAACAGAGTGTTTCCAAACTGCTCTATGAAAAGAAAGGTTAAACTATGTGAGTTGAACGCACACATCACAAAGAATTTTCTGAGAATGATTCTGTCTGGTTTTTATTTGAAGATATTTCCCTTTCTACTGTTGGCATCAAATGGCTAGAAATCTCCACTTGCAAATTCCGCAAAAAGAGTGTTTCAAATCTGCTCTGTCTAAAGGGACGTTCCACTCTGTGAGTTGAATGCACACAACACAAAGAATTTACTGAGAATTCTTCCGTCTAGCATTCAATGAAGAAATCCCGTTTCCAACGAAGGCCTCAAACAGGTCCATATATCCACTTGCAGACTTTACAAACAGTGTGTTTCCAAACTCCTCTATGAAAAGAAAGGTTAAACTCTGTGAGTTGAACGCACACATCACAAAGCACTTTCTGAGAATGATTCTGTCTGGTTATTATACGAATATATTTCCTTTTCTGCAATTGTCCTCAAACCGCTTGAAATCTCCACCTGAAAATGCCACAGCAAGAGTGTTTCAAATCTGCTCTCTCTAAAGCAAGGTTCAACTCTGTGAGTTGAATACACACAACACAAAAAAGTTACTGAGAACTCTTCTTAGTCTAGCATGAAAGGAAGAAACCCCGTTTGCAACGAAGGCCTCAAAGAGGTCCAAATATCCACTTGCAGACATAACAAGCAGAGTGTTTCTAAACTGCTCTAAGAAAAGAAAGGTTAAACTCTGTGAGTTGAAGGCACACATCACAAAGTAGTTTCTGAGAATGATTCTGTCTAGTTTTTATTTGAAGATATTTCCTTTTCTACTGTTGGCATCAAATCGCTTGAAATCTCCACTTGCAAATTCCACAAAAAGAGTGTTTCAAATCTGCTCTCTGTAAAGAGACATTCCACTCTGTGAGTTGAATACACACAGCACAAAGAAGTTACTGAGAATTCTTCTGTCTAGCATGAAATGAAGAAATCCCGTTTCCAACGAAGGCCTCAATGCGGTCCATAGATCCACTTGCAGACTTTACAAACAGAGTGTTTCCAAACTGCTCTATGAAAAGAAAGGTTAAAGTATGTGAGTTGAACGCACACATCACAAAGAATTTTCTGAGAATGATTCTGTCTGGTTTTTATTTGAAGATATTTCCCTTTCTACTGTTGGCATCAAATGGCTAGAAATCTCCACTTGCAAATTCCGCAAAAAGAGTGTTTCAAATCTGCTCTGTCTAAAGGGACGTTCCACTCTGTGAGTTGAATGCACACAACACAAAGAATTTACTGAGAATTCTTCCGCCTAGCATTCAATGAAGAAATCCCGTTTCCAACGAAGGCCTCAAAGCGGTCCATATATCCACTTGCAGACTTTACAAACAGTGTGTTTCCAAACTCCTCTATGAAAAGAAAGGTTAAACTCTGTGAGTGGAACGCACACATCACAAAGCACTTTCTGAGAATGATTCTGTCTGGTTATTATACGAAGATATTTCCTTTTCTGCAATTGTCCTCAAATCGCTTGAAATCTCCACCTGAAAATTCCACAGCGAGAGTGTTTCAAATCTGCTCTCTCTAAAGCAAGGTTCAACTCTGTGAGTTGAATACACACAACACAAAAAAGTTACTGAGAACTCTTCTTAGTCTAGCATGAAAGGAAGAAACCCCGTTTGCAACGAAGGCCTCAAAGAGGTCCAAATATCCACTTGCAGACATAACAAGCAGAGTGTTTCTAAACTGCTCTAAGAAAAGAAAGGTTAAACTCTGTGAGTTGAAGGCACACATCACAAAGTAGTTTCTGAGAATGATTCTGTCTAGTTTTTATTTGAAGATATTTCCTTTTCTACTGTTGGCATCAAATCGCTTGAAATCTCCACTTGCAAATTCCACAAAAAGAGTGTTTCAAATCTGCTCTGTGTAAAGGGACGTTCCACTCTGTGAGTTGAATACACACAGCACAAAGAAGTTACTGAGAATTCTTCTGTCTAGCATGAAATGAAGAAATCCCGTTTCCAACGAAGGCCTCAATGCGGTCCATATATCCACTTGCAGACTTTACAAACAGAGTGTTTCCAAACTGCTCTATGAAAAGAAAGGTTAAACTATGTGAGTTGAACGCACACATCAAAAAGAATTTTCTGAGAATGATTCTGTCTGGTTTTTATTTGAAGATATTTCCCTTTCTACTGTTGGCATCAAATGGCTAGAAATCTCCACTTGCAAATTCCGCAAAAAGAGTGTTTCAAATCTGCTCTGTCTAAAGGGACGTTCCACTCTGTGAGTTGAATGCACACAACACAAAGAATTTACTGAGAATTCTTCCGTCTAGCATTCAATGAAGAAATCCCGTTTCCAACGAAGGCCTCAAACAGGTCCATATATCCAATTGCAGACTTTACAAACAGTGTGTTTCCAAACTCCTCTATGGAAAGAAAGGTTAAACTCTGTGAGTTGAACGCACACATCACAAAGCACTTTCTGAGAATGATTCTGTCTGGTTGTTATACGAAGATATTTCCTTTTCTGCAATTGTCCTCAAATCGCTTGAAATCTCCACCTGAAAATGTCACAGCAAGAGTGTTTCAAATCTGCTCTCTCTAAAGCAAGGTTCAACTCTGTGAGTTGAATACACACAACACAGAAAAGTTACTGAGAACTCTTCTTAGTCTAGCATGAAAGGAAGAAACCCCGTTTGCAACGAAGGCCTCAAAGAGGTCCAAATATCCACTTGCAGACATAACAAGCAGAGTGTTTCTAAACTGCTCTAAGAAAAGAAAGGTTAAACTCTGTGAGTTGAAGGCACACATCACAAAGTAGTTTCTGAGAATGATTCTGTCTAGTTTTTATTTGAAGATATTTCCTTTTCTACTGTTGGCATCAAATCGCTTGAAATCTCCACTTGCAAATTCCACAAAAAGAGTGTTTCAAATCTGCTCTGTGCAAAGGGACGTTCCACTCTGTGAGTTGAATACACACAGCACAAAGAAGTTACTGAGAATTCTTCTGTCTAGCATGAAATGAAGAAATCCCGTTTCCAACGAAGGCCTCAATGCGGTCCATATATCCACTTGCAGACTTTACAAACAGAGTGTTTCCAAACTGCTCTATGAAAAGAAAGGTTAAATTATGTGAGTTGAACGCACACATCACAAAGAATTTTCTGAGAATGATTCTGTCTGGTTTTTATTTGAAGATATTTCCCTTTCTACTGTTGGCATCAAATGGCTAGAAATCTCCACTTGCAAATTCCGCAAAAAGAGTGTTTCAAATCTGCTCTGTCTAAAGGGACGTTCCACTCTGTGAGTTGAATGCACACAACACAAAGAATTTACTGAGAATTCTTCCGTCTAGCATTCAATGAAGAAATCCCGTTTCCAACGAAGGCCTCAAACAGGTCCATATATCCACTTGCAGACTTTACAAACAGTGTGTTTCCAAACTCCTCTATGAAAAGAAAGGTTAAACTCTGTGAGTTGAACGCACACATCACAAAGCACTTTCTGAGAATGATTCTGTCTGGTTATTATACGAAGATATTTCCTTTTCTGCAATTGTCCTCAAATCGCTTGAAATCTCCACCTGAAAATGCCACAGCAAGAGTGTTTCAAATCTGCTCTCTCTAAAGCAAGGTTCAACTCTGTGAGTTGAATACACACAACACAAAAAAGTTACTGAGAACTCTTCTTAGTCTAGCATGAAAAGAAGAAACCCCGTTTGCAACGAAGGCCTCAAAGAGGTCAAAATATCCACTTGCAGACATAACAAGCAGAGTGTTTCTAAACTGCTCTAAGAAAAGAAAGGTTAAACTCTGTGAGTTGAAGGCACACATCACAAAGTAGTTTCTGGGAATGATTCTGTCTAGTTTTTATTTGAAGATATTTCCTTTTCTACTGTTGGCATCAAATCGCTTGAAATCTCCACTTGCAAACTCCACAAAAAGAGTGTTTCAAATCTGCTCTGTGTAAAGGGACGTTCCACTCTGTGAGTTGAATACACACAGCACAAAGAAGTTACTGAGAATTCTTCTGTCTAGCATGAAATGAAGAAATCCCGTTTCCAACGAAGGCCTCAATGCGGTCCATATATCCACTTGCAGACTTTACAAACAGAGTGTTTCCAAACTGCTCTATGAAAAGAAAGGTTAAACTATGTGAGTTGAACGCACACATCACAAAGAATTTTCTGAGAATGATTCTGTCTGGTTTTTATTTGAAGATATTTCCCTTTCTACTGTTGGCATCAAATGGCTAGAAATCTCCACTTGCAAATTCCGCAAAAAGAGTGTTTCAAATCTGCTCTGTCTAAAGGGACGTTCCACTCTGTGAGTTGAATGCACACAACACAAAGAATTTACTGAGAATTCTTCCGTCTAGCATGCAATGAAGAAATCCCGTTTCCAACGAAGGCCTCAAACAGGTCCATATATCCAATTGCAGACTTTACAAACAGTGTGTTTCCAAACTCCTCTATGAAAAGAAAGGTTAAACTCTGTGAGTTGAACGCACACATCACAAAGCACTTTCTGAGAATGATTCTGTCTGGTTATTATACGAAGATATTTCCTTTTCTGCAATTGTCCTCAAAACGCTTGAAATCTCCACCTGAAAATGCCACAGCAAGAGTGTTTCAAATCTGCTCTCTCTAAAGCAAGGTTCAACTCTGTGAGTTGAATACACACAACACAAAAAAGTTACTGAGAACTCTTCTTAGTCTAGCATTAAAGGAAGAAACCCCGTTTGCAACGAAGGCCTCAAAGAGGTCCAAATATCCACTTGCAGACATAACAAGCAGAGTGTTTCTAAACTGCTCTAAGAAAAGAAAGGTTAAACTCTGTGACTTGAAGGCACACATCACAAAGTAGTTTCTGAGAATGATTCTGTCTAGTTTTTATTTGAAGATATTTCCTTTTCTACTGTTGGCATCAAATCGCTTGAAATCTCCACTTGCAAACTCCACAAAAAGAGTGTTTCAAATCTGCTCTGTGCAAAGGGACGTTCCACTCTGTGAGTTGAATACACACAGCACAAAGAAGTTACTGAGAATTCTTCTGTCTAGCATGAAATGAAGAAATCCCGTTTCCAACGAAGGCCTCAATGCGGTCCATATATCCACTTGCAGACTTTACAAACAGAGTGTTTCCAAACTGCTCTATGAAAAGAAAGGTTAAACTATGTGAGTTGAACGCACACATCACAAAGAATTTTCTGAGAATGATTCTGTCTGGTTTTTATTTGAAGATATTTCCCTTTCTACTGTTGGCATCAAATGGCTAGAAATCTCCACTTGCAAATTCCGCAAAAAGAGTGTTTCAAATCTGCTCTGTCTAAAGGGACGTTCCACTCTGTGAGTTGAATGCACACAACACAAAGAATTTACTGAGAATTCTTCCGTCTAGCATTCAATGAAGAAATCCCGTTTCCAACGAAGGCCTCAAACAGGTCCATATATCCAATTGCAGACTTTACAAACAGTGTGTTTCCAAACTCCTCTATGAAAAGAAAGGTTAAACTCTGTGAGTTGAACGCACACATCACAAAGCACTTTCTGAGAATGATTCTGTCTGGTTATTATACGAAGATATTTCCTTTTCTGCAATTGTCCTCAAATCGCTTGAAATCTCCACCTGAAAATGCCACAGCAAGAGTGTTTCAAATCTGCTCTCTCTAAAGCAAGGTTCAACTCTGTGAGTTGAATACACACAACACAAAAAAGTTACTGAGAACTCTTCTTAGTCTAGCATGAAAGGAAGAAACCCCGTTTGCAACGAAGGCCTCAAAGAGGTCCAAATATCCACTTGCAGACATAACAAGCAGAGTGTTTCTAAACTGCTCTAAGAAAAGAAAGGTTAAACTCTGTGAGTTGAAGGCACACATCACAAAGTAGTTTCTGAGAATGATTCTGTCTAGTTTTTATTTGAAGATATTTCCTTTTCTACTGTTGGCATCAGATCGCTTGAAATCTCCACTTGCAAATTCCACAAAAAGAGTGTTTCAAATCTGCTCTGTGCAAAGGGACGTTCCACTCTGTGAGTTCAATACACACAGCACAAAGAAGTTACTGAGAATTCTTCTGTCTAGCATGAAATGAAGAAATCCCGTTTCCAACGAAGGCCTCAATGCGGTCCATATATCCACTTGCAGACTTTACAAACAGAGTGTTTCCAAACTGCTCTATGAAAAGAAAGGTTAAACTATGTGAGTTGAACGCACACATCACAAAGAATTTTCTGAGAATGATTCTGTCTGGTTTTTATTTGAAGATATTTCCCTTTCTACTGTTGGCATCAAATGGCTAGAAATCTCCACTTGCAAATTCCGCAAAAAGAGTGTTTCAAATCTGCTCTGTCTAAAGGGACGTTCCACTCTGTGAGTTGAATGCACACAACACAAAGAATTTACTGAGAATTCTTCCGTCTAGCAGTCAATGAAGAAATCCCGTTTCCAACGAAGGCCTCAAACAGGTCCATATATCCAATTGCAGACTTTACAAACAGTGTGTTTCCAAACTCCTCTATGAAAAGAAAGGTTAAACTCTGTGAGTTGAACGCACACATCACAAAGCACTCTCTGAGAATGATTCTGTCTGGTTATTATACGAAGATATTTCCTTTTCTGCAATTGTCCTCAAATCGCTTGAAATCTCCACCTGAAAATGCCACAGCAAGAGTGTTTCAAATCTGCTCTCTCTAAAGCAAGGTTCAACTCTGTGAGTTGAATACACACAACACAAAAAAGTTACTGAGAACTCTTCTTAGTCTAGCATGAAAGGAAGAAACCCCGTTTGCAACGAAGGCCTCAAAGAGGTCCAAATATCCACTTGCAGACATAACAAGCAGAGTGTTTCTAAACTGCTCTAAGAAAAGAAAGGTTAAACTCTGTGAGTTGAAGGCACACATCACAAAGTAGTTTCTGAGAATGATTCTGTCTAGTTTTTATTTGAAGATATTTCCTTTTCTACTGTTGGCATCAAATCGCTTGAAATCTCCACTTGCAAACTCCACAAAAAGAGTGTTTCAAATCTGCTCTGTGCAAAGGGACGTTCCACTCTGTGAGTTGAATACACACAGCACAAAGAAGTTACTGAGAATCTTCTGTCTAGCATGAAATGAAGAAATCCCGTTTCCAACGAAGGCCTCAATGCGGTCCATATATCCACTTGCAGACTTTACAAACAGAGTGTTTCCAAACTGCTCTATGAAAAGAAAGGTTAAACTATGTGAGTTGAACGCACACATCACAAAGAATTTTCTGAGAATGATTCTGTCTGGTTTTTATTTGAAGATATTTCCCTTTCTACTGTTGGCATCAAATGGCTAGAAATCTCCACTTGCAAATTCCGCAAAAAGAGTGTTTCAAATCTGCTCTGTCTAAAGGGACGTTCCACTCTGTCAGTTGAATGCACACAACACAATGTATTTACTGAGAATTCTTCCGTCTAGCATTCAATGAAGAAATCCCGTTTCCAACGAAGGCCTCAAACAGGTCCATATATCCAATTGCAGACTTTACAAACAGTGTGTTTCCAAACTCCTCTATGAAAAGAAAGGTTAAACTCTGTGAGTTGAACGCACACATCACAAAGCACTTTCTGAGAATGATTCTGTCTGGTTATTATACGAAGATATTTCCTTTTCTGCAATTGTCCTCAAATCGCTTGATATCTCCACCTGAAAATGCCACAGCAAGAGTGTTTCAAATCTGCTCTCTCTAAAGCAAGGTTCAACTCTGTGAGTTGAATACACACAACACAAAAAAGTTACTGAGAACTCTTCTTAGTCTAGCATGAAAGGAAGAAACCCCGTTTGCAACGAAGGCCTCAAAGAGGTCCAAATATCCACTTGCAGACATAACAAGCAGAGTGTTTCTAAACTGCTCTAAGAAAAGAAAGGTTAAACTCTGTGAGTTGAAGGCACACATCACAAAGTAGTTTCTGAGAATGATTCTGTCTAGTTTTTATTTGAAGATATTTCATTTTCTACTGTTGGCATCAAATCGCTTGAAATCTCCACTTGCAAACTGCACAAAAAGAGTGTTTCAAATCTGCTCTGTGCAAAGGGACGTTCCACTCTGTGAGTTGAATACACACAGCACAAAGAAGTTACTGAGAATTCTTCTGTCTAGCATGAAATGAAGAAATCCCGTTTCCAACGAAGGCCTCAATGCGGTCCATATATCCACTTGCAGACTTTACAAACAGAGTGTTTCCAAACTGCTCTATGAAAAGAAAGGTTAAACTATGTGAGTTGAACGCACACATCACAAAGAATTTTCTGAGAATGATTCTGTCTGGTTTTTATTTGAAGATATTTCCCTTTCTACTGTTGGCATCAAATGGCTAGAAATCTCCACTTGCAAATTCCGCAAAAAGAGTGTTTCAAATCTGCTCTGTCTAAAGGGACGTTCCACTCTGTGAGTTGAATGCACACAACACAAAGAATTTACTGAGAATTCTTCCGTCTAGCATTCAATGAAGAAATCCCGTTTCCAACGAAGGCCTCAAACAGGTCCATATATCCACTTGCAGACTTTACAAACAGTGTGTTTCCAAACTCCTCTATGAAAAGAAAGGTTAAACTCTGTGAGTGGAACGCACACATCACAAAGCACTTTCTGAGAATGATTCTGTCTGGTTGTTATACGAAGATATTTCCTTTTCTGCAATTGTCCTCAAATCGCTTGAAATCTCCACCTGAAAATGCCACAGCAAGAGTGTTTCAAATCTGCTCTCTCTAAAGCAAGGTTCAACTCTGTGAGTTGAATACACACAACACAAAAAAGTTACTGAGAACTCTTCTTAGTCTAGCATGAAAGGAAGAAACCCCGTTTGCAACGAAGGCCTCAAAGAGGTCCAAATATCCAGTTGCAGACATAACAAGCAGAGTGTTTCTAAACTGCTCTAAGAAAAGAAAGGTTAAACTCTGTGAGTTGAAGGCACACATCACAAAGTAGTTTCTGAGAATGGTTCTGTCTAGTTTTTATTTGAAGATATTTCCTTTTCTACTGTTGGCATCAAATCGCTTGAAATCTCCACTTGCAAACTCCACAAAAAGAGTGTTTTAAATCTGCTCTGTGCAAAGGGACGTTCCACTCTGTGAGTTGAATACACACAGCACAAAGAAGTTACTGAGAATTCTTCTGTCTAGCATGAAATGAAGAAATCCCGTTTCCAACGAAGGCCTCAATGCGGTCCATATATCCACTTGCAGACTTTACAAAGAGAGTGTTTCCAAACTGCTCTATGAAAAGAAAGGTTAAACTATGTGAGTTGAACGCACACATCACAAAGAATTTTCTGAGAATGATTCTGTCTGGTTTTTATTTGAAGATATTTCCCTTTCTACTGTTGGCATCAAATGGCTAGAAATCTCCACTTGCAAATTCCGCAAAAAGAGTGTTTCAAATCTGCTCTGTCTAAAGGGACGTTCCACTCTGTGAGTTGAATGCACACAACACAAAGAATTTACTGAGAATTCTTCCGTCTAGCATTCAATGAAGAAATCCCGTTTCCAACGAAGGCCTCAAACAGGTCCATATATCCACTTGCAGACTTTACAAACAGTGTGTTTCCAAACTCCTCTATGAAAAGAAAGGTTAAACTCTGTGAGTGGAACGCACACATCACAAAGCACTTTCTGAGAATGATTCTGTCTGGTTATTATACGAAGATATTTCCTTTTCTGCAATTGTCCTCAAATCGCTTGAAATCTCCACCTGAAAATGCCACAGCAAGAGTGTTTCAAATCTGCTCTCTCTAAAGTAAGGTTCAACTCTGTGAGTTGAATACACACAACACAAAAAAGTTACTGAGAACTCTTCTTAGTCTAGCATGAAAGGAAGAAACCCCGTTTGCAACGAAGGCCTCAAAGAGGTCCAAATATCCACTTGCAGACATAACAAGCAGAGTGTTTCTAAAGTGCTCTAAGAAAAGAAAGGTTAAACTCTGTGAGTTGAAGGCACACATCACAAAGTAGTTTCTGAGAATGATTCTGTCTAGTTTTTATTTGAAGATATTTCCTTTTCTACTGTTCGCATCAAATCGCTTGAAATCTCCACTTGCAAACTCCACAAAAAGAGTGTTTCAAATGTGCTCTGTGTAAAGGGACGTTCCACTCTGTGAGTTGAATACACACAGCACAAAGAAGTTACTGAGAATTCTTCTGTCTAGCATGAAATGAAGAAATCCCGTTTCCAACGAAGGCCTCAATGCGGTCCATATATCCACTTGCAGACTTTACAAACAGAGTGTTTCCAAACTGCTCTATGAAAAGAAAGGTTAAACTATGTGAGTTGAACGCACACATCACAAAGAATTTTCTGAGAATGATTCTGTCTGGTTTTTATTTGAAGATATTTCCCTTTCTACTGTTGGCATCAAATGGCTAGAAATCTCCACTTGCAAATTCCGCAAAAAGAGTGTTTCAAATCTGCTCTGTCTAAAGGGACGTTCCACTCTGTGAGTTGAATGCACACAACACAAAGAATTTACTGAGAATTCTTCCGTCTATCATTCAATGAAGAAATCCCGTTTCCAACGAAGGCCTCAAACAGGTCCATATATCCACTTGCAGACTTTACAAACAGTGTGTTTCCAAACTCCTCTATGAAAAGAAAGGTTAAACTCTGTGAGTGGAACGCACACATCACAAAGCACTTTCTGAGAATGATTCTGTCTGGTTATTATACGAAGATATTTCCTTTTCTGCAATTGTCCTCAAATCGCTTGAAATCTCCACCTGAAAATGCCACAGCAAGAGTGTTTCAAATCTGCTCTCTCTAAAGCAAGGTTCAACTCTGTGAGTTGAATACACACAACACAAAAAAGTTACTGAGAACTCTTCTTAGTCTAGCATGAAAGGAAGAAACCCCGTTTGCAACGAAGGCCTCAAAGAGGTCCAAATATCCACTTGCAGACATAACAAGCAGAGTGTTTCTAAACTGCTCTAAGAAAAGAAAGGTTAAACTCTGTGAGTTGAAGGCACACATCACAAAGTAGTTTCTGAGAATGATTCTGTCTAGTTTTTATTTGAAGATATTTCCTTTTCTACTGTTGGCATCAAATCGCTTGAAATCTCCACTTGCAAACTCCACAAAAAGAGTGTTTCAAATCTGCTCTGTGCAAAGGGACGTTCCACTCTGTGAGTTGAATACACACAGCACAAAGAAGTTACTGAGAATTCTTCTGTCTAGCATGAAATGAAGAAATCCCGTTTCCAACGAAGGCCTCAATGCGCTCCATATATCCACTTGCAGACTTTACAAACAGAGTGTTTCCAAACTGCTCTATGAAAAGAAAGGTTAAACTATGTGAGTTGAACGCACACATCACAAAGAATTTTCTGAGAATGATTCTGTCTGGTTTTTATTTGAAGATATTTCCCTTTCTACTGTTGGCATCAAATGGCTAGAAATCTCCACTTGCAAATTCCGCAAAAAGAGTGTTTCAAATCTGCTCTGTCTAAAGGGACGTTCCACTCTGTGAGTTGAATGCACACAACACAAAGAATTTACTGAGAATTCTTCCGTCTAGCATGCAAAGAAGAAATCCCGTTTCCAACGAAGGCCTCAAACAGGTCCATATATCCAGTTGCAGACTTTACAAACAGTGTGTTTCCAAACTCCTCTATGAAAAGAAAGGTTAAACTCTGTGAGTGGAACGCACACATCACAAAGCACTTTCTGAGAATGATTCTGTCTGGTTATTATACGAAGATATTTCCTTTTCTGCAATTGTCCTCAAATCGCTTGAAATCTCCACCTGAAAATTCCACAGCAAGAGTGTTTCAAATCTGCTCTCTCTAAAGCAAGGTTCAACTCTGTGAGTTGAATACACACAACACAAAAAAGTTACTGAGAACTCTTCTTAGTCTAGCATGAAAGGAAGAAACCCCGTTTGCAACGAAGGCCTCAAAGAGGTCCAAATATCCACTTGCAGACATAACAAGCCGAGTGTTTCTAAACTGCTCTAAGAAAAGAAAGGTTAAACTCTGTGAGTTGAAGGCACACATCACAAAGTAGTTTCTGAGAATGATTCTGTCTAGTTTTTATTTGAAGATATTTCCTTTTCTACTGTTGGCATCAAATCGCTTGAAATCTCCACTTGCAAACTCCACAAAAAGAGTGTTTCAAATCTGCTCTGTGCAAAGGGACGTTCCACTCTGTGAGTTGAATACACACAGCACAAAGAAGTTACTGAGAATTCTTCTGTCTAGCATGAAATGAAGAAATCCCGTTTCCAACGAAGGCCTCAATGCGGTCCATATATCCACTTGCAGACTTTACAAACAGAGTGTTTCCAAACTGCTCTATGAAAAGAAAGGTTAAACTATGTGAGTTGAACGCACACATCACAAAGAATTTTCTGAGAATGATTCTGTCTGGTTTTTATTTGAAGATATTTCCCTTTCTACTGTTGGCATCAAATGGCTAGAAATCTCCACTTGCAAATTCCGCAAAAAGAGTGTTTCAAATCTGCTCTGTCTAAAGGGACGTTCCACTCTGTGAGTTGAATGCACACAACACAAAGAATTTACTGAGAATTCTTCCGTCTAGCATTCAATGAAGAAATCCCGTTTCCAACGAAGGCCTCAAACAGGTCCATATATCCAATTGCAGACTTTACAAACAGTGTGTTTCCAAACTCCTCTATGAAAAGAAAGGTTAAACTCTGTGAGTGGAACGCACACATCACAAAGCACTTTCTGAGAATGATTCTGTCTGGTTATTATACGAAGATATTTCCTTTTCTGCAATTGTCCTCAAATCGCTTGAAATCTCCACCTGAAAATGCCACAGCAAGAGTGTTTCAAATCTGCTCTCTCTAAAGCAAGGTTCAACTCTGTGAGTTGAATACACACAACACAAAAAAGTTACTGAGAACTCTTCTTAGTCTAGCATGAAAGGAAGAAACCCCGTTTGCAACGAAGGCCTCAAAGAGGTCCAAATATCCACTTGCAGACATAACAAGCAGAGTGTTTCTAAACTGCTCTAAGAAAAGAAAGGTTAAACTCTGTGAGTTGAAGGCACACATCACAAAGTAGTTTCTGAGAATGATTCTGTCTAGTTTTTATTTGAAGATATTTCCTTTTCTACTGTTGGCATCAAATCGCTTGAAATCTCCACTTGCAAATTCCACAAAAAGGTGTTTCAAATCTGCTCTGTGCAAAGGGACGTTCCACTCTGTGAGTTGAATACACACAGCACAAAGAAGTTACTGAGAATTCTTCTGTCTAGCATGAAATGAAGAAATCCCGTTTCCAACGAAGGCCTCAATGCGGTCCATATATCCACTTGCAGACTTTACAAACAGAGTGTTTCCAAACTGCTCTATGAAAAGAAAGGTTAAACTATGTGAGTTGAACGCACACATCACAAAGAATTTTCTGAGAATGATTCTGTCTGGTTTTTATTTGAAGATATTTCCCTTTCTACTGTTGGCATCAAATGGCTAGAAATCTCCACTTGCAAATTCCGCAAAAAGAGTGTTTCAAATCTGCTCTGTCTAAAGGGACGTTCCACTCTGTGAGTTGAATGCACACAACACAAAGAATTTACTGAGAATTCTTCCGTCTAGCATTCAATGAAGAAATCCCGTTTCCAACGAAGGCCTCAAACAGGTCCATATATCCAATTGCAGACTTTACAAACAGTGTGTTTCCAAACTCCTCTATGAAAAGAAAGGTTAAACTCTGTGAGTTGAACGCACACATCACAAAGCACTTTCTGAGAATGATTCTGTCTGGTTATTATACGAAGATATTTCCTTTTCTGCAATTGTCCTCAAATCGCTTGAAATCTCCACCTGAAAATGCCACAGCAAGAGTGTTTCAAATCTGCTCTCTCTAAAGCAAGGTTCAACTCTGTGAGTTGAATACACACAACACAAAAAAGTTACTGAGAACTCTTCTTAGTCTAGCATTAAAGGAAGAAACCCCGTTTGCAACGAAGGCCTCAAAGAGGTCCAAATATCCACTTGCAGACATAACAAGCAGAGTGTTTCTAAGCTGCTCTAAGAAAAGAAAGGTTAAACTCTGTGAGTTGAAGGCACACATCACAAAGTAGTTTCTGAGAATGATTCTGTCTAGTTTTTATTTGAAGATATTTCCTTTTCTACTGTTGGCATCAAATCGCTTGAAATCTCCACTTGCAAACTCCACAAAAAGAGTGTTTCAAATCTGCTCTGTGCAAAGGGACGTTCCACTCTGTGAGTTGAATACACACAGCACAAAGAAGTTACTGAGAATTCTTCTGTCTAGCATGAAATGAAGAAATCCCGTTTCCAACGAAGGCCTCAATGCGGTCCATATATCCACTTGCAGACTTTACAAACAGAGTGTTTCCAAACTGCTCTATGAAAAGAAAGGTTAAACTATGTGAGTTGAACGCACACATCACAAAGAATTTTCTGAGAATGATTCTGTCTGGTTTTTATTTGAAGATATTTCCCTTTCTACTGTTGGCATCAAATGGCTAGAAATCTCCACTTGCAAATTCCGCAAAAAGAGTGTTTCAAATCTGCTCTGTCTAAAGGGACGTTCCACTCTGTGAGTTGAATGCACACAACACAAAGAATTTACTGAGAATTCTTCCGTCTAGCATTCAATGAAGAAATCCCGTTTCCAACGAAGGCCTCAAACAGGTCCATATATCCACTTGCAGAGTTTACAAACAGTGTGTTTCCAAACTCCTCTATGAAAAGAAAGGTTAAACTCTGTGAGTGGAACGCACACATCACAAAGCACTTTGCTGAGAATGATTCTGTCTGGTTATTATACGAAGATATTTCCTTTTCTGCAATTGTCCTCAAATCGCTTGAAATCTCCACCTGAAAATGCCACAGCAAGAGTGTTTCAAATCTGCTCTCTCTAAAGCAAGGTTCAACTCTGTGAGTTGAATACACACAACACAAAAAAGTTACTGAGAACTCTTCTTAGTCTAGCATGAAAGGAAGAAACCCCGTTTGCAACGAAGGCCTCAAAGAGGTCCAAATATCCACTTGCAGACATAACAAGCAGAGTGTTTCTAAACTGCTCTAAGAAAAGAAAGGTTAAACTCTGTGAGTTGAAGGCACACATCACAAAGTAGTTTCTGAGAATGATTCTGTCTAGTTTTTATTTGAAGATATTTCCTTTTCTACTGTTGGCATCAAATCGCTTGAAATCTCCACTTGCAAACTCCACAAAAAGAGTGTTTCAAATCTGCTCTGTGCAAAGGGACGTTCCACTCTGTGAGTTGAATACACACAGCACAAAGAAGTTACTGAGAATTCTTCTGTCTAGCATGAAATGAAGAAATCCCGTTTCCAACGAAGGCCTCAATGCGGTCCATATATCCACTTGCAGACTTTACAAACAGAGTGTTTCCAAACTGCTCTATGAAAAGAAAGGTTAAACTATGTGAGTTGAACGCACACATCACAAAGAATTTTCTGAGAATGATTCTGTCTGGTTTTTATTTGAAGATATTTCCCTTTCTACTGTTGGCATCAAATGGCTAGAAATCTCCACTTGCAAATTCCGCAAAAAGAGTGTTTCAAATCTGCTCTGTCTAAAGGGACGTTCCACTCTGTGAGTTGAATGCACACAACACAAAGAATTTACTGAGAATTCTTCCGTCTAGCATTCAATGAAGAAATCCCGTTTCCAACGAAGGCCTCAAACAGGTCCATATATCCACTTGCAGACTTTACAAACAGTGTGTTTCCAAACTCCTCTATGAAAAGAAAGGTTAAACTCTGTGAGTGGAACGCACACATCACAAAGCACTTTCTGAGAATGATTCTGTCTGGTTATTATACGAAGATATTTCCTTTTCTGCAATTGTCCTCAAATCGCTTGAAATCTCCACCTGAAAATGCCACAGCAAGAGTGTTTCAAATCTGCTCTCTCTAAAGCAAGGTTCAACTCTGTGAGTTGAATACACACAACACAAAAAAGTTACTGAGAACTCTTCTTAGTCTAGCATGAAAGGAAGAAACCCCGTTTGCAACGAAGGCCTCAAAGAGGTCCAAATATCCACTTGCAGACATAACAAGCAGAGTGTTTCTAAACTGCTCTAAGAAAAGAAAGGTTAAACTCTGTGAGTTGAAGGCACACATCACAAAGTAGTTTCTGAGAATGATTCTGTCTAGTTTTTATTTGAAGATATTTCCTTTTCTACTGTTGGCATCAAATCGCTTGAAATCTCCACTTGCAAATTCCACAAAAAGAGTGTTTCAAATCTGCTCTGTGTAAAGGGACGTTCCACTCTGTGAGTTGAATACACACAGCACAAAGAAGTTACTGAGAATTCTTCTGTCTAGCATGAAATGAAGAAATCCCGTTTCCAACGAAGGCCTCAATGCGGTCCATATATCCACTTGCAGACTTTACAAACAGAGTGTTTCCAAACTGCTCTATGAAAAGAAAGGTTAAACTATGTGAGTTGAACGCACACATCACAAAGAATTTTCTGAGAATGATTCTGTCTGGTTTTTATTTGAAGATATTTCCCTTTCTACTGTTGGCATCAAATGGCTAGAAATCTCCACTTGCAAATTCCGCAAAAAGAGTGTTTCAAATCTGCTCTGTCTAAAGGGACGTTCCACTCTGTGAGTTGAATGCACACAACACAAAGAATTTACTGAGAATTCTTCCGTCTAGCATTCAATGAAGAAATCCCGTTTCCAACGAAGGCCTCAAACAGGTCCATATATCCAATTGCAGACTTTACAAACAGTGTGTTTCCAAACTCCTCTATGAAAAGAAAGGTTAAACTCTGTGAGTTGAACGCACACATCACAAAGCACTTTCTGAGAATGATTCTGTCTGGTTATTATACGAAGATATTTCCTTTTCTGCAATTGTCCTCAAATCGCTTGAAATCTCCACCTGAAAATGCCACAGCAAGAGTGTTTCAAATCTGCTCTCTCTAAAGCAAGGTTCAACTCTGTGAGTTGAATACACACAACACAAAAAAGTTACTGAGAACTCTTCTTAGTCTAGCATGAAAGGAAGAAACCCCGTTTGCAACGAAGGCCTCAAAGAGGTCCAAATATCCACTTGCAGACATAACAAGCAGAGTGTTTCTAAACTGCTCTAAGAAAAGAAAGGTTAAACTCTGTGAGTTGAAGGCACACATCACAAAGTAGTTTCTGAGAATGATTCTGTCTAGTTTTTATTTGAAGATATTTCCTTTTCTACTGTTGGCATCAAATCGCTTGAAATCTCCACTTGCAAACTCCACAAAAAGAGTGTTTCAAATCTGCTCTGTGTAAAGGGACGTTCCACTCTGTGAGTTGAATACACACAGCACAAAGAAGTTACTGAGAATTCTTCTGTCTAGCATGAAATGAAGAAATCCCGTTTCCAACGAAGGCCTCAATGCGGTCCATATATCCACTTGCAGACTTTACAAACAGAGTGTTTCCAAACTGCTCTATGAAAAGAAAGGTTAAACTATGTGAGTTGAACGCACACATCACAAAGAATTTTCTGAGAATGATTCTGTCTGGTTTTTATTTGAAGATATTTCCCTTTCTACTGTTGGCATCAAATGGCTAGAAATCTCCACTTGCAAATTCCGCAAAAAGAGTGTTTCAAATCTGCTCTGTCTAAAGGGACGTTCCACTCTGTGAGTTGAATGCACACAACACAAAGAATTTACTGAGAATTCTTCCGTCTAGCATTCAATGAAGAAATCCCGTTTCCAACGAAGGCCTCAAACAGGTCCATATATCCACTTGCAGACTTTACAAACAGTGTGTTTCCAAACTCCTCTATGAAAAGAAAGGTTAAACTCTTGTGAGTGGAACGCACACATCACAAAGCACTTTCTGAGAATGATTCTGTCTGGTTATTATACGAAGATATTTCCTTTTCTGCAATTGTCCTCAAATCGCTTGAAATCTCCACCTGAAAATGCCACAGCAAGAGTGTTTCAAATCTGCTCTCTCTAAAGCAAGGTTCAACTCTGTGAGTTGAATACACACAACACAAAAAAGTTACTGAGAACTCTTCTTAGTCTAGCATGAAAGGAAGAAACCCCGTTTGCAACGAAGGCCTCAAAGAGGTCCAAATATCCACTTGCAGACATAACAAGCAGAGTGTTTCTAAACTGCTCTAAGAAAAGAAAGGTTAAACTCTGTGAGTTGAAGGCACACATCACAAAGTAGTTTCTGAGAATGATTCTGTCTAGTTTTTATTTGAAGATATTTCCTTTTCTACTGTTGGCATCAAATCGCTTGAAATCTCCACTTGCAAACTCCACAAAAAGAGTGTTTCAAATCTGCTCTGTGCAAAGGGACGGTTCCACTCTGTGAGTTGAATACACACAGCACAAAGAAGTTACTGAGAATTCTTCTGTCTAGCATGAAATGAAGAAATCCCGTTTCCAACGAAGGCCTCAATGCGGTCCATATATCCACTTGCAGACTTTACAAACAGAGTGTTTCCAAACTGCTCTATGAAAAGAAAGGTTAAACTATGTGAGTTGAACGCACACATCACAAAGAATTTTCTGAGAATGATTCTGTCTGGTTTTTATTTGAAGATATTTCCCTTTCTACTGTTGGCATCAAATGGCTAGAAATCTCCACTTGCAAATTCCGCAAAAAGAGTGTTTCAAATCTGCTCTGTCTAAAGGGACGTTCCACTCTGTGAGTTGAATGCACACAACACAAAGAATTTACTGAGAATTCTTCCGTCTAGCATTCAATGAAGAAATGCCGTTTCCAACGAAGGCCTCAAACAGGTCCATATATCCACTTGCAGACTTTACAAACAGTGTGTTTCCAAACTCCTCTATGAAAAGAAAGGTTCAACTCTGTGAGTTGAACCGAACACATCACAAAGCACTTTCTGAGAATGATTCTGTCTGGTTATTATACGGAAGATATTTCCTTTTCTGCAATTGTCCTCAAATCGCTTGAAATCTCCACCTGAAAATGCCACAGCAAGAGTGTTTCAAATCTGCTCTCTCTAAAGCAAGGTTCAACTCTGTGAGTTGAATACACACAACACAAAAAAGTTACTGAGAACTCTTCTTAGTCTAGCATTAAAGGAAGAAACCCCGTTTGCAACGAAGGCCTCAAAGAGGTCCAAATATCCACTTGCAGACATAACAAGCAGAGTGTTTCTAAACTGCTCTAAGAAAAGAAAGGTTAAACTCTGTGAGTTGAAGGCACACATCACAAAGTAGTTTCTGAGAATGATTCTGTCTAGTTTTTATTTGAAGATATTTCCTTTTCTACTGTTGGCATCAAATCGCTTGAAATCTCCACTTGCAAACTCCACAAAAAGAGTGTTTCAAATCTGCTCTGTGCAAAGGGACGTTCCACTCTGTGAGTTGAATACACACAGCACAAAGAAGTTACTGAGAATTCTTCTGTCTAGCATGAAATGAAGAAATCCCGTTTCCAACGAAGGCCTCAATGCGGTCCATAGATCCACTTGCAGACTTTACAAACAGAGTGTTTCCAAACTGCTCTATGAAAAGAAAGGTTAAACTATGTGAGTTGAACGCACACATCACAAAGAATTTTCTGAGAATGATTCTGTCTGGTTTTTATTTGAAGATATTTCCCTTTCTACTGTTGGCATCAAATGGCTAGAAATCTCCACTTGCAAATTCCGCAAAAAGAGTGTTTCAAATCTGCTCTGTCTAAAGGGACGTTCCACTCTGTGAGTTGAATGCACACAACACAAAGAATTTACTGAGAATTCTTCCGTCTAGCATTCAATGAAGAAATCCCGTTTCCAACGAAGGCCTCAAACAGGTCCATATATCCACTTGCAGACTTTACAAACAGTGTGTTTCCAAACTCCTCTATGAAAAGAAAGGTTAAACTCTGTGAGTTGAACGCACACATCACAAAGCACTTTCTGAGAATGATTCTGTCTGGTTATTATACGAAGATATTTCCTTTTCTGCAATTGTCCTCAAATCGCTTGAAATCTCCACCTGAAAATGCCACAGCAAGAGTGTTTCAAATCTGCTCTCTCTAAAGCAAGGTTCAACTCTGTGAGTTGAATACACACAACACAAAAAAGTTACTGAGAACTCTTCTTAGTCTAGCATGAAAGGAAGAAACCCCGTTTGCAACGAAGGCCTCAAAGAGGTCCAAATATCCACTTGCAGACATAACAAGCAGAGTGTTTCTAAACTGCTCTAAGAAAAGAAAGGTTAAACTCTGTGAGTTGAAGGCACACATCACAAAGTAGTTTCTGAGAATGATTCTGTCTAGTTTTTATTTGAAGATATTTCCTTTTCTACTGTTGGCATCAAATCGCTTGAAATCTCCACTTGCAAACTCCACAAAAAGAGTGTTTCAAATCTGCTCTGTGTAAAGGGACGTTCCACTCTGTGAGTTGAATACACACAGCACAAAGAAGTTACTGAGAATTCTTCTGTCTAGCATGAAATGAAGAAATCCCGTTTCCAACGAAGGCCTCAATGCGGTCCATATATCCACTTGCAGACTTTACATACAGAGTGTTTCCAAACTGCTCTATGAAAAGAAAGGTTTAAACTATGTGAGTTGAACGCACACATCACAAAGAATTTTCTGAGAATGATTCTGTCTGGTTTTTATTTGAAGATATTTCCCTTTCTACTGTTGGCATCAAATGGCTAGAAATCTCCACTTGCAAATTCCGCAAAAAGAGTGTTTCAAATCTGCTCTGTCTAAAGGAACGTTCCACTCTGTGAGTTGAATGCACACAACACAAAGAATTTACTGAGAATTCTTCCGTCTAGCATTCAATGAAGAAATCCCGTTTCCAACGAAGGCCTCAAACAGGTCCATATATCCACTTGCAGACTTTACAAACAGTGTGTTTCCAAACTCCTCTATGAAAAGAAAGGTTAAACTCTGTGAGTGGAACGCACACATCACAAAGCACTTTCTGAGAATGATTCTGTCTGGTTATTATACGAAGATATTTCCTTTTCTGCAATTGTCCTCAAATCGCTTGAAATCTCCACCTGAAAATGCCACAGCAAGAGTGTTTCAAATCTGCTCTCTCTAAAGCAAGGTTCAACTCTGTGAGTTGAATACACACAACACAAAAAAGTTACTGAGAACTCTTCTTAGTCTAGCATGAAAGGAAGAAACCCCGTTTGCAACGAAGGCCTCAAGAGGTCCAAATATCCACTTGCAGACATAACAAGCAGAGTGTTTCTAAACGGCTCTAAGAAAAGAAAGGTTAAACTCTGTGAGTTGAAGGCACACATCACAAAGTAGTTTCTGAGAATGATTCTGTCTAGTTTTTATTTGAAGATATTTCCTTTTCTACTGTTGGCATCAAATCGCTTGAAATCTCCACTTGCAAACTCCACAAAAAGAGTGTTTCAAATCTGCTCTGTGCAAAGGGACGTTCCACTCTGTGAGTTGAATACACACAGCACAAAGAAGTTACTGAGAATTCTTCTGTCTAGCATGAAATGAAGCAAATCCCGTTTCCAACGAAGGCCTCAATGCGGTCCATATATCCACTTGCAGACTTTACAAACAGAGTGTTTCCAAACTGCTCTATGAAAAGAAAGGTTAAACTCTGTGAGTTGAAGGCACACATCACAAAGTAGTTTCTGAGAATGATTCTGTCTGGTTTTTATTTGAAGATATTTCCCTTTCTACTGTTGGCATCAAATGGCTAGAAATCTCCACTTGCAAATTCCGCAAAAAGAGTGTTTCAAATCTGCTCTGTCTAAAGGGACGTTCCACTCTGTGAGTTGAATGCACACAACACAAAGAATTTACTGAGAATTCTTCCGTCTAGCATTCAATGAAGAAATCCCGTTTCCAACGAAGGCCTCAAACAGGTCCATATATCCACTTGCAGACTTTACAAACAGTGTGTTTCCAAACTCCTCTATGAAAAGAAAGGTTAAACTCTGTGAGTGGAACGCACACATCACAAAGCACTTTCTGAGAATGATTCTGTCTGGTTATTATACGAAGATATTTCCTTTTCTGCAATTGTCCTCAAATCGCTTGAAATCTCCACCTGAAAATGCCACAGCAAGAGTGTTTCAAATCTGCTCTCTCTAAAGCAAGGTTCAACTCTGTGAGTTGAATACACACAACACAAAAAAGTTACTGAGAACTCTTCTTAGTCTAGCATGAAAGGAAGAAACCCCGTTTGCAACGAAGGCCTCAAAGAGGTCCAAATATCCACTTGCAGACATAACAAGCAGAGTGTTTCTAAACTGCTCTAAGAAAAGAAAGGTTAAACTCTGTGAGTTGAAGGCACACATCACAAAGTAGTTTCTGAGAATGATTCTGTCTAGTTTTTATTTGAAGATATTTCCTTTTCTACTGTTGGCATCAAATCGCT
Source organism: Homo sapiens (assembly GCF_000001405.40). Taxonomy (NCBI): domain Eukaryota; kingdom Metazoa; phylum Chordata; class Mammalia; order Primates; family Hominidae; genus Homo; species Homo sapiens. Next base: position 60,801,091 of record NC_000007.14, on the reverse strand, counting down.
TGAAATCTCCACTTGCAAATTCCACAAAAAGAGTGTTTCAAATCTGCTCTGTGCAAAGGGACGTTCCACTCTGTGAGTTGAATACACACAGCACAAAGAAGTTACTGAGAATTCTTCTGTCTAGCATGAAATGAAGAAATCCCGTTTCCAACGAAGGCCTCAATGCGGTCCATATATCCACTTGCAGACTTTACAAACAGAGTGTTTCCAAACTGCTCTATGAAAAGAAAGGTTAAACTATGTGAGTTGAACGCACACATCACAAAGAATTTTCTGAGAATGATTCTGTCTGGTTTTTATTTGAAGATATTTCCCTTTCTACTGTTGGCATCAAATGGCTAGAAATCTCCACTTGCAAATTCCGCAAAAAGAGTGTTTCAAATCTGCTCTGTCTAAAGGGACGTTCCACTCTGTGAGTTGAATGCACACAACACAAAGAATTTACTGAGAATTCTTCCGTCTAGCATTCAATGAAGAAATCCCGTTTCCAACGAAGGCCTCAAAGAGGTCCATATATCCAATTGCAGACTTTACAAACAGTGTGTTTCCAAACCCTTCTATGGAAAGAAAGGTTAAACTCTGTGAGTTGAACGCACACATCACAAAGCACTTTCTGAGAATGATTCTGTCTGGTTATTATACGAAGATATTTCCTTTTCTGCAATTGTCCTCAAATCGCTTGAAATCTCCACCTGAAAATGCCACAGCAAGAGTGTTTCAAATCTGCTCTCTCTAAAGCAAGGTTCAACTCTGTGAGTTGAATACACACAACACAAAAAAGTTACTGAGAACTCTTCTTAGTCTAGCATGAAAGGAAGAAACCCCGTTTGCAACGAAGGCCTCAAAGAGGTCCAAATATCCACTTGCAGACATAACAAGCAGAGTGTTTCTAAACTGCTCTAAGAAAAGAAAGGTTAAACTCTGTGAGTTGAAGGCACACATCACAAAGTAGTTTCTGAGAATGATTCTGTCTAGTTTTTATTTGAAGATATTTCCTTTTCTATTGTTGGCATCAAATCGCTTGAAATCTCCACTTGCAAATTCCACAAAAAGAGTGTTTCAAATCTGTTCTGTGTAAAGGGACGTTCCACTCTGTGAGTTGAATACACACAGCACAAAGAAGTTACTGAGAATTCTTCTGTCTAGCATGAAATGAAGAAATCCCGTTTCCAACGAAGGCCTCAATGCGGTCCATATATCCACTTGCAGACTTTACAAACAGAGTGTTTCCAAACTGCTCTATGAAAAGAAAGGTTAAACTATGTGAGTTGAACGCACACATCACAAAGAATTTTCTGAGAATGATTCTGTCTGGTTTTTATTTGAAGATATTTCCCTTTCTACTGTTGGCATCAAATGGCTAGAAATCTCCACTTGCAAATTCCGCAAAAAGAGTGTTTCAAATCTGCTCTGTCTAAAGGGACGTTCCACTCTGTGAGTTGAATGCACACAACACAAAGAATTTACTGAGAATTCTTCCGTCTAGCATTCAATGAAGAAATCCCGTTTCCAACGAAGGCCTCAAACAGGTCCATATATCCAATTGCAGACTTTACAAACAGTGTGTTTCCAAACTCCTCTATGAAAAGAAAGGTTAAACTCTGTGAGTTGAACGCACACATCACAAAGCACTTTCTGAGAATGATTCTGTCTGGTTGTTATACGAAGATATTTCCTTTTCTGCAATTGTCCTCAAATCGCTTGAAATCTCCACCTGAAAATGCCACAGCAAGAGTGTTTCAAATCTGCTCTCTCTAAAGCAAGGTTCAGCTCTGTGAGTTGAATACACACAACACAAAAAAGTTACTGAGAACTCTTCTTAGTCTAGCATGAAAGGAAGAAACCCCGTTTGCAACGAAGGCCTCAAAGAGGTCCAAATATCCACTTGCAGACATAACAAGCAGAGTGTTTCTAAACTGCTCTAAGAAAAGAAAGGTTAAACTCTGTGAGTTGAAGGCACACATCACAAAGTAGTTTCTGAGAATGATTCTGTCTAGTTTTTATTTGAAGATATTTCCTTTTCTACTGTTGGCATCAAATCGCTTGAAATCTCCACTTGCAAACTCCACAAAAAGAGTGTTTCAAATCTGCTCTGTGTAAAGGGACGTTCCACTCTGTGAGTTGAATACACACAGCACAAAGAAGTTACTGAGAATTCTTCTGTCTAGTATGAAATGAAGAAATCCCGTTTCCAACGAAGGCCTCAATGCGGTCCATATATCCACTTGCAGACTTTACAAACAGAGTGTTTCCAAACTGCTCTATGAAAAGAAAGGTTAAACTATGTGAGTTGAACGCACACATCACAAAGAATTTTCTGAGAATGATTCTGTCTGGTTTTTATTTGAAGATATTTCCCTTTCTACTGTTGGCATCAAATGGCTAGAAATCTCCACTTGCAAATTCCGCAAAAAGAGTGTTTCAAATCTGCTCTGTCTAAAGGGACGTTCCACTCTGTGAGTTGAATGCACACAACACAAAGAATTTACTGAGAATCCTTCCGTCTAGCATTCAATGAAGAAATCCCGTTTCCAACGAAGGCCTCAAACAGGTCCATATATCCACTTGCAGACTTTACAAACAGTGTGTTTCCAAACTCCTCTATGAAAAGAAAGGTTAAACTCTGTGAGTGGAACGCACACATCACAAAGCACTTTCTGAGAATGATTCTGTCTGGTTATTATACGAAGATATTTCCTTTTCTGCAATTGTCCTCAAATCGCTTGAAATCTCCACCTGAAAATGCCACAGCAAGAGTGTTTCAAATCTGCTCTCTCTAAAGCAAGGTTCAACTCTGTGAGTTGAATACACACAACACAAAAAAGTTACTGAGAACTCTTCTTAGTCTAGCATGAAAGGAAGAAACCCCGTTTGCAACGAAGGCCTCAAAGAGGTCCAAATATCCACTTGCAGACATAACAAGCAGAGTGTTTCTAAACTGCTCTAAGAAAAGAAAGGTTAAACTCTGTGAGTTGAAGGCACACATCACAAAGTAGTTTCTGAGAATGATTCTGTCTAGTTTTTATTTGAAGATATTTCCTTTTCTACTGTTGGCATCAAATCGCTTGAAATCTCCACTTGCAAACTCCACAAAAAGAGTGTTTCAAATCTGCTCTGTGCAAAGGGACGTTCCACTCTGTGAGTTGAATACACACAGCACAAAGAAGTTACTGAGAATTCTTCTGTCTAGCATGAAATGAAGAAATCCCGTTTCCAACGAAGGCCTCAATGCGGTCCATATATCCACTTGCAGACTTTACAAACAGAGTGTTTCCAAACTGCTCTATGAAAAGAAAGGTTAAACTATGTGAGTTGAACGCACACATCACAAAGAATTTTCTGAGAATGATTCTGTCTGGTTTTTATTGGAAGATATTTCCCTTTCTACTGTTGGCATCAAATGGCTAGAAATCTCCACTTGCAAATTCCGCAAAAAGAGTGTTTCAAATCTGCTCTGTCTAAAGGGACGTTCCACTCTGTGAGTTGAATGCACACAACACAAAGAATTTACTGAGAATTCTTCCGTCTAGCATTCAATGAAGAAATCCCGTTTCCAACGAAGGCCTCAAACAGGTCCATATATCCAATTGCAGACTTTACAAACAGTGTGTTTCCAAACTCCTCTATGAAAAGAAAGGTTAAACTCTGTGAGTTGAACGCACACAACACAAAGCACTTTCTGAGAATGATTCTGTCTGGTTATTATACGAAGATATTTCCTTTTCTGCAATTGTCCTCAAATCGCTTGAAATCTCCACCTGAAAATGCCACAGCAAGAGTGTTTCAAATCTGCTCTCTCTAAAGCAAGGTTCAACTCTGTGAGTTGAATACACACAACACAAAAAAGTTAGTGAGAACTCTTCTTAGTCTAGCGTGAAAGGAAGAAACCCCGTTTGCAACGAAGGCCTCAAAGAGGTCCAAATATCCACTTGCAGACATAACAAGCAGAGTGTTTCTAAACTGCTCTAAGAAAAGAAAGGTTAAACTCTGTGAGTTGAAGGCACACATCACAAAGTAGTTTCTGAGAATGATTCTGTCTAGTTTTTATTTGAAGATATTTCCTTTTCTACTGTTGGCATCAAATCGCTTGAAATCTCCACTTGCAAACTCCACAAAAAGAGTGTTTCAAATCTGCTCTGTGCAAAGGGACGTTCCACTCTGTGAGTTGAATACACACAGCACAAAGAAGTTACTGAGAATTCTTCTGTCTAGCATGAAATGAAGAAATCCCGTTTCCAACGAAGGCCTCAATGCGGTCCATATATCCACTTGCAGACTTTACAAACAGAGTGTTTCCAAACTGCTCTATGAAAAGAAAGGTTAAACTATGTGAGTTGAACGCACACATCACAAAGAATTTTCTGAGAATGATTCTGTCTGGTTTTTATTTGAAGATATTTCACTTTCTACTGTTGGCATCAAATGGCTAGAAATCTCCACTTGCAAATTCCGCAAAAAGAGTGTTTCAAATCTGCTCTGTCTAAAGGGACGTTCCACTCTGTCAGTTGAATGCACACAACACAAAGAATTTACTGAGAATTCTTCCGTCTAGCATTCAATGAAGAAATCCCGTTTCCAACGAAGGCCTCAAACAGGTCCATATATCCAATTGCAGACTTTACAAACAGTGTGTTTCCAAACTCCTCTATGAAAAGAAAGGTTAAACTCTGTGAGTTGAACGCACACAACACAAAGCACTTTCTGAGAATGATTCTGTCTGGTTGTTATACGAAGATATTTCCTTTTCTGCAATTGTCCTCAAATCGCTTGAAATCTCCACCTGAAAATGCCACAGCAAGAGTGTTTCAAATCTGCTCTCTCTAAAGCAAGGTTCAGCTCTGTGAGTTGAATACACACAACACAAAAAAGTTACTGAGAACTCTTCTTAGTCTAGCATGAAAGGAAGAAACCCCGTTTGCAACGAAGGCCTCAAAGAGGTCCAAATATCCACTTGCAGACATAACAAGCAGAGTGTTTCTAAACTGCTCTAAGAAAAGAAAGGTTAAACTCTGTGAGTTGAAGGCACACATCACAAAGTAGTTTCTGAGAATGATTCTGTCTAGTTTTTATTTGAAGATATTTCCTTTTCTACTGTTGGCATCAAATCGCTTGAAATCTCCACTTGCAAATTCCACAAAAAGAGTGTTTCAAATCTGCTCTGTGCAAAGGGACGTTCCACTCTGTGAGTTGAATACACACAGCACAAAGAAGTTACTGAGAATTCTTCTGTCTAGCATGAAATGAAGAAATCCCGTTTCCAACGAAGGCCTCAATGCGGTCCATAGATCCACTTGCAGACTTTACAAACAGAGTGTTTCCAAACTGCTCTATGAAAAGAAAGGTTAAACTATGTGAGTTGAACGCACACATCACAAAGAATTTTCTGAGAATGATTCTGTCTGGTTTTTATTTGAAGATATTTCCCTTTCTACTGTTGGCATCAAATGGCTAGAAATCTCCACTTGCAAATTCCGCAAAAAGAGTGTTTCAAATCTGCTCTGTCTAAAGGGACGTTCCACTGTGTGAGTTGAATGCACACAACACAAAGAATTTACTGAGAATTCTTCCGTCTAGCATTCAATGAAGAAATCCCGTTTCCAACGAAGGCCTCAAACAGGTCCATATATCCAATTGCAGACTTTACAAACAGTGTGTTTCCAAACTCCTCTATGAAAAGAAAGGTTAAACTCTGTGAGTTGAACGCACACATCACAAAGCACTTTCTGAGAATGATTCTGTCTGGTTATTATACGAAGATATTTCCTTTTCTGCAATTGTCCTCAAAACGATTGAAATCTCCACCTGAAAATGCCACAGCAAGAGTGTTTCAAATCTGCTCTCTCTAAAGCAAGGTTCAACTCTGTGAGTTGAATACACACAACACAGAAATGTTACTGAGAACTCTTCTTAGTCTAGCATGAAAGGAAGAAACCCCGTTTGCAACGAAGGCCTCAAAGAGGTCCAAATATCCACTTGCAGACATAACAAGCAGAGTGTTTCTAAACTGCTCTAAGAAAAGAAAGGTTAAACTCTGTGAGTTGAAGGCACACATCACAAAGTAGTTTCTGAGAATGATTCTGTCTAGTTTTTATTTGAAGATATTTCCTTTTCTACTGTTGGCATCAAATCGCTTGAAATCTCCACTTGCAAATTCCACAAAAAGAGTGTTTCAAATCTGCTCTGTGTAAAGGGACGTTGCACTCTGTGAGTTGAATACACACAGCACAAAGAAGTTACTGAGAATTCTTCTGTCTAGCATGAAATGAAGAAATCCCGTTTCCAACGAAGGCCTCAATGCGGTCCATATATCCACTTGCAGACTTTACAAACAGAGTGTTTCCAAACTGCTCTATGAAAAGAAAGGTTAAACTATGTGAGTTGAACGCACACATCACAAAGAATTTTCTGAGAATGATTCTGTCTGGTTTTTATTTGAAGATATTTCCCTTTCTACTGTTGGCATCAAATGGCTAGAAATCTCCACTTGCAAATTCCGCAAAAAGAGTGTTTCAAATCTGCTGTGTCTAAAGGGACGTTCCACTCTGTGAGTTGAATGCACACAACACAAAGAATTTACTGAGAATTCTTCCGTCTAGCATGCAATGAAGAAATCCCGTTTCCAACGAAGGCCTCAAACAGGTCCATATATCCAATTGCAGACTTTACAAACAGTGTGTTTCCAAACTCCTCTATGAAAAGAAAGGTTAAACTCTGTGAGTTGAACGCACACATCACAAAGCACTTTCTGAGAATGATTCTGTCTGGTTGTTATACGAAGATATTTCCTTTTCTGCAATTGTCCTCAAATCGCTTGAAATCTCCACCTGAAAATGCCACAGCAAGAGTGTTTCAAATCTGCTCTCTCTAAAGCAAGGTTCAACTCTGTGAGTTGAATACACACAACACAAAAAAGTTACTGAGAACTCTTCTTAGTCTAGCATTAAAGGAAGAAATCCCGTTTGCAACGAAGGCCTCAAAGAGGTCCAAATATCCACTTGCAGACATAACAAGCAGAGTGTTTCTAAACTGCTCTAAGAAAAGAAAGGTTAAACTCTGCGAGTTGAAGGCACACATCACATAGTAGTTTCTGAGAATGATTCTGTCTAGTTTTTATTTCAAGATATTTCCTTTTCTACTGTTGGCATCATATCGCTTGAAATCTCCACTTGCAAATTCCACAAAAAGAGTGTTTCAAATCTGCTCTGTGTAAAGGGACGTTGCACTCTGTGAGTTGAATACACACAGCAGAAAGAAGTTACTGAGAATTCTTCTGTCTAGCATGAAATGAAGAAAACCCGTTTCCAACGAAGGCCTCAAAGCGGTCCATATATCTACTTGCAGACTTTACAAAGAGAGTGTTTCCAAACTGCTCTATGAAAAGAAAGGTTAAACTATGTGAGTTGAACGCACACATCACAAAGAATTTTCTGAGAATGATTCTGTCTAGTTTTTATTTGAAGATATTTCCCTTTCTATTGTTGGCATCAAATGGCTTGAAATCTGCACTTCCAAATTTCGCAAAAAGAGTGTTTCAAATCTGCTCTGTCTAAAGGGACGTTCCACTCAGTGAGTTGAATGCACACAACAAAAAGAGTTTACTGAGAATTCTTCCGTCTAGCATTCAATGAAGAAATCCCGTTTCCAACGAAGGCCTCAAAGAGGTCCATATATCCACTTGCAGACTTTACAAACAGTGTGTTTCCAAACTCCTCTATGAAAAGAAAGGTTAAACTCTGTGAGTGGAACGCACACATCACAAAGCACTTTCTGAGAATGATTCTGTCTGGTTATTATACGAAGATATTTCCTTTTCTGCAATTGTCCTCAAATCGCTTGAAATCTCCACATGAAAATTCCACAGCGAGAGTGTTTCAAATCTGCTCTCTCTAAAGCAAGGTTCAACTCTGTGAGTTGAATACACACAACACAAAAAAGTTACTGAGAACTCTTCTTAGTCTAGCATGAAAGGAAGAAACCCCGTTTGCAACGAAGGCCTCAAAGAGGTCCAAATATCCACTTGCAGACATAACAAGCAGAGTGTTTCTAAACTGCTCTAAGAAAAGAAAGGTTAAACTCTGTGAGTTGAAGGCACACATCACAAAGTAGTTTCTGAGAATGATTCTGTCTAGTTTTTATTTGAAGATATTTCCTTTTCTACTGTTGGCATCAAATCGCTTGAAATCTCCACTTGCAAACTCCACAAAAAGAGTGTTTCAAATCTGCTCTGTGTAAAGGGACGTTCCACTCTGTGAGTTGAATACACACAGCACAAAGAAGTTACTGAGAATTCTTCTGTCTAGCATGAAATGAAGAAATCCCGTTTCCAACGAAGGCCTCAATGCGGTCCATATATCCACTTGCAGACTTTACAAACAGAGTGTTTCCAAACTGCTCTATGAAAAGAAAGGTTAAACTATGTGAGTTGAACGCACACATCACAAAGAATTTTCTGAGAATGATTCTGTCTGGTTTTTATTTGAAGATATTTCCCTTTCTACTCTTGGCATCAAATGGCTAGAAATCTCCAGTTGCAAATTCCGCAAAAAGAGTGTTTCAAATCTGCTCTGTCTAAAGGGACGTTCCACTCTGTGAGTTGAATGCACACAACACAAAGAATTTACTGAGAATTCTTCCGTCTAGCATTCAATGAAGAAATCCCGTTTCCAACGGAGGCCTCAATGCGGTCCATATATCCAATTGCAGACTTTACAAACAGTGTGTTTCCAAGCTCCTCTATGAAAAGAAAGGTTAAACTCTGTGAGTTGAACGCACACATCACAAAGCACTTTCTGAGAATGATTCTGTCTGGTTATTATACGAAGATATTTCCTTTTCTGCAATTGTCCTCAAATCGCTTGAAATCTCCACCTGAAAATGCCACAGCAAGAGTGTTTCAAATCTGCTCTCTCTAAAGCAAGGTTCAACTCTGTGAGTTGAATACACACAACACAAAAAAGTTACTGAGAACTCTTCTTAGTCTAGCATGAAAGGAAGAAACCCCGTTTGCAACGAAGGCCTCAAAGAGGTCCAAATATCCACTTGCAGACATAACAAGCAGAGTGTTTCTAAACTGCTCTAAGAAAAGAAAGGTTAAACTCTGTGAGTTGAAGGCACACATCACAAAGTAGTTTCTGAGAATGATTCTGTCTAGTTTTTATTTGAAGATATTTCCTTTTCTACTGTTGGCATCAAATCGCTTGAAATCTCCACTTGCAAACTCCACAAAAAGAGTGTTTCAAATCTGCTCTGTGTAAAGGGACGTTCCACTCTGTGAGTTGAATACACACAGCACAAAGAAGTTACTGAGAATTCTTCTGTCTAGCATGAAATGAAGAAATCCGGTTTCCAACGAAGGCCTCAATGCGGTCCATATATCCACTTGCAGACTTTACAAACAGAGTGTTTCCAAACTGCTCTATGAAAAGAAAGGTTAAACTATGTGAGTTGAACGCACACATCACAAAGAATTTTCTGAGAATGATTCTGTCTGGTTTTTATTTGAAGATATTTCCCTTTCTACTGTTGGCATCAAATGGCTAGAAATCTCCACTTGCAAATTCCGCAAAAAGAGTGTTTCAAATCTGCTCTGTCTAAAGGGACGTTCCACTCTGTCAGTTGAATGCACACAACACAAAGAATTTACTGAGAATTCTTCCGTCTAGCATTCAATGAAGAAATCCCGTTTCCAAAGAAGGCCTCAAACAGGTCCATATATCCAATTGCAGACTTTACAAACAGTGTGTTTCCAAACTCCTCTATGAAAAGAAAGGTTAAACTCTGTGAGTTGAACGCACACATCACAAAGCACTTTCTGAGAATGATTCTGTCTGGTTATTATACGAAGATATTTCCTTTTCTGCAATTGTCCTCAAATCGCTTGAAATCTCCACCTGAAAATGCCACAGCAAGAGTGTTTCAAATCTGCTCTCTCTAAAGCAAGGTTCAACTCTGTGAGTTGAATACACACAACACAAAAAAGTTACTGAGAACTCTTCTTAGTCTAGCATGAAAGGAAGAAACCCCGTTTGCAACGAAGGCCTCAAAGAGGTCCAAATATCCACTTGCAGACATAACAAGCAGAGTGTTTCTAAACTGCTCTAAGAAAAGAAAGGTTAAACTCTGTGAGTTGAAGGCACACATCACAAAGTAGTTTCTGAGAATGATTCTGTCTAGTTTTTATTTGAAGATATTTCCTTTTCTACTGTTGGCATCAAATCGCTTGAAATCTCCACTTGCAAACTCCACAAAAAGAGTGTTTCAAATCTGCTCTGTGTAAAGGGACGTTCCACTCTGTGAGTTGAATACACACAGCACAAAGAAGTTACTGAGAATTCTTCTGTCTAGCATGAAATGAAGAAATCCCGTTTCCAACGAAGGCCTCAATGCGGTCCATATATCCACTTGCAGACTTTACAAACAGAGTGTTTCCAAACTGCTCTATGAAAAGAAAGGTTAAACTATGTGAGTTGAACGCACACATCACAAAGAATTTTCTGAGAATGATTCTGTCTGGTTTTTATTTGAAGATATTTCCCTTTCTACTGTTGGCATCAAATGGCTAGAAATCTCCACTTGCAAATTCCGCAAAAAGAGTGTTTCAAATCTGCTCTGTCTAAAGGGACGTTCCACTCTGTGAGTTGAATGCACACAACACAAAGAATTTACTGAGAATTCTTCCGTCTAGCATTCAATGAAGAAATCCCGTTTCCAACGAAGGCCTCAAACAGGTCCATATATCCAATTGCAGACTTTACAAACAGTGTGTTTCCAAACTCCTCTATGAAAAGAAAGGTTAAACTCTGTGAGTTGAACGCACACATCACAAAGCACTTTCTGAGAATGATTCTGTCTGGTTATTATACGAAGATATTTCCTTTTCTGCAATTGTCCTCAAATCGCTTGAAATCTCCACCTGAAAATGCCACAGCAAGAGTGTTTCAAATCTGCTCTCTCTAAAGCAAGGTTCAACTCTGTGAGTTGAATACACACAACACAAAAAAGTTACTGAGAACTCTTCTTAGTCTAGCATGAAAGGAAGAAACCCCGTTTGCAACGAAGGCCTCAAAGAGGTCCAAATATCAACTAGCAGACATAACAAGCAGAGTGTTTCTAAATTGCTCTAAGAAAAGAAAGGTTAAACTCTGTGAGTTGAAGGCACACATCACAAAGTAGTTTCTGAGAATGATTCTGTCTAGTTTTTATTTGAAGATATTTCCTTTTCTACTGTTGGCATCAAATCGCTTGAAATCTCCACTTGCAAACTCCACAAAAAGAGTGTTTCAAATCTGCTCTGTGCAAAGGGACGTTCCACTCTGTGAGTTGAATACACACAGCACAAAGAAGTTACTGAGAATTCTTCTGTCTAGCATGAAATGAAGAAATCCCGTTTCCAACGAAGGCCTCAATGCGGTCCATATATCCACTTGCAGACTTTACAAACAGAGTGTTTCCAAACTGCTCTATGAAAAGAAAGGTTAAACTATGTGAGTTGAACGCACACATCACAAAGAATTTTCTGAGAATGATTCTGTCTGGTTTTTATTTGAAGATATTTCCCTTTCTACTGTTGGCATCAAATGGCTAGAAATCTCCACTTGCAAATTCCGCAAAAAGAGTGTTTCAAATCTGCTCTGTCTAAAGGGACGTTCCACTCTGTGAGTTGAATGCACACAACACAAAGAATTTACTGAGAATTCTTCCGTCTAGCATTATATGATGAAATCCCGTTTCCAACGAAGGCCTCAAACAGGTCCATATATCCACTTGCAGACTTTACAAACAGTGTGTTTCCAAACTCCTCTATGAAAAGAAAGGTTAAACTCTGTGAGTTGAACGCACACATCACAAAGCACTTTCGGAGAATGATTCTGTCTGGTTTTTATACGAAGACATTTCCTTTTCTGCAATTGTCCTCAAATCGCTTGAAATCTCCAACTGAAAATACCACAGCAAGAGTGTTTCAAATCTGCTCTCTCTAAAGCAAGGTTCAACCCTGTGAGTTGAATACACACAACACAAAAAAGTTACTGAGAACTCGAATTAGTCTAGAATTAAATGAAGAAATCCCGTTTGCAACGAAGGCCTCAAAGAGGTCCAAATATCCACTTGCAGACATAACAAGCAGAGTGTTTCTAAACGGCTCTAAGAAAAGAAAGGTTAAACTCTGTGAGTTGAAGGCATACTTCACAAAGTAGTTTCTGAGAATGATTCTGTCTAGTTTTTATTTGAAGATATTTCCTTTTCTACTGTTGGCATCAAATCGCTTGAAATCTCCACTTGCAAATTCCACAAAAAGAGTGTTTCAAATCTGCTCTGTGCAAAGGGACGTTCCACTCTGTGAGTTGAATACACACAGCACAAAGAAGTTACTGAGAATTCTTCTGTCTAGCATGAAATGAAGAAATCCCGTTTCCAACGAAGGCCTCAATGCGGTCCATATATCCACTTGCAGACTTTACAAACAGAGTGTTTCCAAACTGCTCTATGAAAAGAAAGGTTAAACTATGTGAGTTGAACGCACACATCACAAAGAATTTTCTGAGAATGATTCTGTCTGGTTTTTATTTGAAGATATTTCCCTTTCTACTGTTGGCATCAAATGGCTAGAAATCTCCACTTGCAAATTCCGCAAAAAGAGTGTTTCAAATCTGCTCTGTCTAAAGGGACGTTCCACTCTGTCAGTTGAATGCACACAACACAAAGAATTTACTGAGAATTCTTCCGTCTAGCATTCAATGAAGAAATCCCGTTTCCAACGAAGGCCTCAAACAGGTCCATATATCCAATTGCAGACTTTACAAACAGTGTGTTTCCAAACTCCTCTATGAAAAGAAAGGTTAAACTCTGTGAGTTGAACGCACACATCACAAAGCACTTTCTGAGAATGATTCTGTCTGGTTATTATACGAAGATATTTCCTTTTCTGCAATTGTCCTCAAATCGCTTGAAATCTCCACCTGAAAATGCCACAGCGAGAGTGTTTCAAATCTGCTCTCTCTAAAGCAAGGTTCAACTCTGTGAGGTGAATACACACAACACAAAAAAGTTACTGAGAACTCTTCTTAGTCTAGCATGAAAGGAAGAAACCCCGTTTGCAACGAAGGCCTCAAAGAGGTCCAAATATCCACTTGCAGACATAACAAGCAGAGTGTTTCTAAACTGCTCTAAGAAAAGAAAGGTTAAACTCTGTGAGTTGAAGGCACACATCACAAAGTAGTTTCTGAGAATGATTCTGTCTAGTTTTTATTTGAAGATATTTCCTTTTCTACTGTTGGCATCAAATCGCTTGAAATCTCCACTTGCAAATTCCACAAAAAGAGTGTTTCAAATCTGCTCTGTGCAAAGGGACGTTCCACTCTGTGAGTTGAATACACACAGCACAAAGAAGTTACTGAGAATTCTTCTGTCTAGCATGAAATGAAGAAATCCCGTTTCCAACGAAGGCCTCAATGCGGTCCATATATCCACTTGCAGACTTTACAAACAGAGTGTTTCCAAACTGCTCTATGAAAAGAAAGGTTAAACTATGTGAGTTGAACGCACACATCACAAAGAATTTTCTGAGAATGATTCTGTCTGGTTTTTATTTGAAGATATTTCCCTTTCTACTGTTGGCATCAAATGGCTAGAAATCTCCACTTGCAAATTCCGCAAAAAGAGTGTTTCAAATCTGCTCTGTCTAAAGGGACGTTCCACTCTGTGAGTTGAATGCACACAACACAAAGAATTTACTGAGAATTCTTCCGTCTAGCATTCAATGAAGAAATCCCGTTTCCAACGAAGGCCTCAAACAGGTCCATATATCCACTTGCAGACTTTACAAACAGTGTGTTTCCAAACTCCTCTATGAAAAGAAAGGTTAAACTCTGTGAGTGGAACGCACACATCACAAAGCACTTTCTGAGAATGATTCTGTCTGGTTGTTATACGAAGATATTTCCTTTTCTGCAATTGTCCTCAAATCGCTTGAAATCTCCACCTGAAAATGTCACAGCAAGAGTGTTTCATATCTGCTCTCTCTAAAGCAAGGTTCAACTCTGTGAGTTGAATACACACAACACAGAAAAGTTACTGAGAACTCTTCTTAGTCTAGCATGAAAGGAAGAAACCCCGTTTGCAACGAAGGCCTCAAAGAGGTCCAAATATCCACTTGCAGACATAACAAGCAGAGTGTTTCTAAACTGCTCTAAGAAAAGAAAGGTTAAACTCTGTGAGTTGAAGGCACACATCACAAAGTAGTTTCTGAGAATGATTCTGTCTAGTTTTTATTTGAAGATATTTCCTTTTCTACTGTTGGCATCAAATCGCTTGAAATCTCCACTTGCAAATTCCACAAAAAGAGTGTTTCAAATCTGCTCTGTGCAAAGGGACGTTCCACTCTGTGAGTTGAATACACACAGCACAAAGAAGTTACTGAGAATTCTTCTGTCTAGCATGAAATGAAGAAATCCCGTTTCCAACGAAGGCCTCAATGCGGTCCATATATCCACTTGCAGACTTTACAAACAGAGTGTTTCCAAACTGCTCTATGAAAAGAAAGGTTAAACTATGTGAGTTGAACGCACACATCACAAATAATTTTCTGAGAATGATTCTGTCTGGTTTTTATTTGAAGATATTTCCCTTTCTACTGTTGGCATCAAATGGCTAGAAATCTCCACTTGCAAATTCCGCAAAAAGAGTGTTTCAAATCTGCTCTGTCTAAAGGGACGTTCCACTCTGTGAGTTGAATGCACACAACACAAAGAATTTACTGAGAATTCTTCTGTCTAGCATTCAATGAAGAAATCCCGTTTCCAACGAAGGCCTCAAACAGGTCCATATATCCACTTGCAGACTTTACAAACAGTGTGTTTCCAAACTCCTCTATGAAAAGAAAGGTTAAACTCTGTGAGTTGAACGCACACATCACAAAGCACTTTCTGAGAATGATTCTGTCTGGTTGTTATACGAAGATATTTCCTTTTCTGTAATTGTCCTCAAATCGCTTGAAATCTCCACCTGAAAATGCCACAGCAAGAGTGTTTCAAATCTGCTCTCTCTAAAGCAAGGTTCAACTCTGTGAGTTGAATACACACAACACAAAAAAGTTACTGAGAACTCTTCTTAGTCTAGCATGAAAGGAAGAAACCCCGTTTGCAACGAAGGCCTCAAAGAGGTCCAAATATCCACTTGCAGACATAACAAGCAGAGTGTTTCTAAACTGCTCTAAGAAAAGAAAGGTTAAACTCTGTGAGTTGAAGGCACACATCACAAAGTAGTTTCTGAGAATGATTCTGTCTAGTTTTTATTTGAAGATATTTCCTTTTCTACTGTTGGCATCAAATCGCTTGAAATCTCCACTTGCAAACTCCACAAAAAGAGTGTTTCAAATCTGCTCTGTGCAAAGGGACGTTCCACTCTGTGAGTTGAATACACACAGCACAAAGAAGTTACTGAGAATTCTTCTGTCTAGCATGAAATGAAGAAATCCCGTTTCCAACGAAGGCCTCAATGCGGTCCATATATCCACTTGCAGACTTTACAAACAGAGTGTTTCCAAACTGCTCTATGAAAAGAAAGGTTAAACTATGTGAGTTGAACGCACACATCACAAAGAATTTTCTGAGAATGATTCTGTCTGGTTTTTATTTGAAGATATTTCCCTTTCTACTGTTGGCATCAAATGGCTAGAAATCTCCACTTGCAAATTCCGCAAAAAGAGTGTTTCAAATCTGCTCTGTCTAAAGGGACGTTCCACTCTGTGAGTTGAATGCACACAACACAAAGAATTTACTGAGAATTCTTCCGTCTATCATTATATGATAAAATCCCGTTTCCAACGAAGGCCTCAAACAGGTCCATATATCCAATTGCAGACTTTACAAACAGTGTGTTTCCAAACTCCTCTATGAAAAGAAAGGTTAAACTCTGTGAGTTGAACGCACACATCACAAAGCACTTTCTGAGAATGATTCTGTCTGGTTGTTATACGAAGATATTTCCTTTTCTGCAATTGTCCTCAAATCGCTTGAAATCTCCACCTGAAAATGCCACAGCAAGAGTGTTTCAAATCTGCTCTCTCTAAAGCAAGGTTCAGCTCTGTGAGTTGAATACACACAACACAAAAAAGTTACTGAGAACTCTTCTTAGTCTAGCATGAAAGGAAGAAACCCCGTTTGCAACGAAGGCCTCAAAGAGGTCCAAATATCCACTTGCAGACATAACAAGCAGAGTGTTTCTAAACTGCTCTAAGAAAAGAAAGGTTAAACTCTGTGAGTTGAAGGCACACATCACAAAGTAGTTTCTGAGAATGATTCTGTCTAGTTTTTATTTGAAGATATTTCCTTTTCTACTGTTGGCATCAAATCGCTTGAAATCTCCACTTGCAAATTCCACAAAAAGAGTGTTTCAAATCTGCTCTGTGCAAAGGGACGTTCCACTCTGTGAGTTGAATACACACAGCACAAAGAAGTTACTGAGAATTCTTCTGTCTAGCATGAAATGAAGAAATCCCGTTTCCAACGAAGGCCTCAATGCGGTCCATATATCCACTTGCAGACTTTACAAACAGAGTGTTTCCAAACTGCTCTATGAAAAGAAAGGTTAAACTATGTGAGTTGAACGCACACATCACAAAGAATTTTCTGAGAATGATTCTGTCTGGTTTTTATTTGAAGATGTTTCCCTTTCTACTGTTGGCATCAAATGGCTAGAAATCTCCACTTGCAAATTCCGCAAAAAGAGTGTTTCAAATCTGCTCTGTCTAAAGGGATGTTTCACTCTGTGAGTTGAATGCACACAACACAAAGAATTTACTGAGAATTCTTCCGTCTAGCATTCAATGAAGAAATCCCGTTTCCAACGAAGGCCTCAAACAGGTCCATATATCCACTTGCAGACTTTACAAACAGTGTGTTTCCAAACTCCTCTATGGAAAGAAAGGTTAAACTGTGTGAGTTGAACGCACACATCACAAAGCACTTTCTGAGAATGATTCTGTCTGGTTGTTATACGAAGATATTTCCTTTTCTGCAATTGTCCTCAAATCGCTTGAAATCTCCACCTGAAAATGCCACAGCAAGAGTGTTTCAAATCTGCTCTCTCTAAAGCAAGGTTCAGCTCTGTGAGTTGAATACACACAACACAAAAAAGTTACTGAGAACTCTTCTTAGTCTAGCATTAAAGGAAGAAACCCCGTTTGCAACGAAGGCCTCAAAGAGGTCCAAATATCCACTTGCAGACATAACAAGCAGAGTGTTTCTAAACTGCTCTAAGAAAAGAAAGGTTAAACTCTGTGAGTTGAAGGCACACATCACAAAGTAGTTTCTGAGAATGATTCTGTCTAGTTTTTATTTGAAGATATTTCCTTTTCTACTGTTGGCATCAAATCGCTTGAAATCTCCACTTGCAAATTCCACAAAAAGAGTGTTTCAAATCTGCTCTGTGCAAAGGGACGTTCCACTCTGTGAGTTGAATACACACAGCACAAAGAAGTTACTGAGAATTCTTCTGTCTAGCATGAAATGAAGAAATCCCGTTTCCAACGAAGGCCTCAATGCGGTCCATAGATCCACTTGCAGACTTTACAAACAGAGTGTTTCCAAACTGCTCTATGAAAAGAAAGGTTAAACTATGTGAGTTGAACGCACACATCACAAAGAATTTTCTGAGAATGATTCTGTCTGGTTTTTATTTGAAGATATTTCCCTTTCTACTGTTGGCATCAAATGGCTAGAAATCTCCACTTGCAAATTCCGCAAAAAGAGTGTTTCAAATCTGCTCTGTCTAAAGGGACGTTCCACTCTGTGAGTTGAATGCACACAACACAAAGAATTTACTGAGAATTCTTCCGCCTAGCATTCAATGAAGAAATCCCGTTTCCAACGAAGGCCTCAAACAGGTCCATATATCCACTTGCAGACTTTACAAACAGTGTGTTTCCAAACTCCTCTATGAAAAGAAAGGTTAAACTCTGTGAGTTGAACGCACACATCACAAAGCACTTTCTGAGAATGATTCTGTCTGGTTATTATACGAAGATATTTCCTTTTCTGCAATTGTCCTCAAATCGCTTGAAATCTCCACCTGAAAATGCCACAGCAAGAGTGTTTCAAATCTGCTCTCTCTAAAGCAAGGTTCAACTCTGTGAGTTGAATACACACAACACAAAAAAGTTACTGAGAACTCTTCTTAGTCTAGCATGAAAGGAAGAAACCCCGTTTGCAACGAAGGCCTCAAAGAGGTCCAAATATCCACTTGCAGACATAACAAGCAGAGTGTTTCTAAACTGCTCTAAGAAAAGAAAGGTTAAACTCTGTGAGTTGAAGGCACACATCACAAAGTAGTTTCTGAGAATGATTCTGTCTAGTTTTTATTTGAAGATATTTCCTTTTCTACTGTTGGCATCAAATCGCTTGAAATCTCCACTTGCAAACTCCACAAAAAGAGTGTTTCAAATCTGCTCTGTGCAAAGGGACGTTCCACTCTGTGAGTTGAATACACACAGCACAAAGAAGTTACTGAGAATTCTTCTGTCTAGCATGAAATGAAGAAATCCCGTTTCCAACGAAGGCCTCAAAGCGGTCCATATATCCACTTGCAGACATTACCAACAGAGTGTTCCCAAACTGCTCTATGAAAAGAAAGGTTAAACTATGTGAGTTGAACGCACACATCACAAAGAATTTTCTGAGAATGATTCTGTCTGGTTTTTATTTGAAGATATTTCCCTTTCTACTGTTGGCATCAAATGGCTAGAAATCTCCACTTGCAAATTCCGCAAAAAGAGTGTTTCAAATCTGCTCTGTCTAAAGGGACGTTCCACTCTGTCAGTTGAATGCACACAACACAAAGAATTTACTGAGAATTCTTCCGTCTAGCATTATATGAAAAAATCCCATTTCCAATGAAGGCCTCAAAGAGGTCCAAATATCCACTCGTAGATTTTACAAACAGTGTGTTTCCAAACTGCTCTATGAAAAGAAAGGTTAAACTCCGTGAGTTGAACGCACACATCACAAAGCACTTTCTGAGAATGATTCTGTCTGGTTATTATACGAAGATATTTCCTTTTCTGCAATTGTCCTCAAATCGCTTGAAATCTCCACCTGAAAATTCCACAGCAAGAGTGTTTCAAATCTGCTCTCTCTAAAGCAAGGTTCAACTCTGTGAGTTGAATACACACAACACAAAAAAGTTACTGAGAACTCTTCTCTTAGTCTAGCATGAAAGGAAGAAACCCCGTTTGCAACGAAGGCCTCAAAGAGGTCCAAATATCCACTTGCAGACATAACAAGCAGAGTGTTTCTAAACTGCTCTAAGAAAAGAAAGGTTAAACTCTGTGAGTTGAAGGCACACATCACAAAGTAGTTTCTGAGAATGATTCTGTCTAGTTTTTATTTGAAGATATTTCCTTTTCTACTGTTGGCATCAAATCGCTTGAAATCTCCACTTGCAAACTCCACAAAAAGAGTGTTTCAAATCTGCTCTGTGTAAAGGGACGTTCCACTCTGTGAGTTGAATACACACAGCACAAAGAAGTTACTGAGAATTCTTCTGTCTAGCATGAAATGAAGAAATCCCGTTTCCAACGAAGGCCTCAATGCGGTCCATAGATCCACTTGCAGACTTTACAAACAGAGTGTTTCCAAACTGCTCTATGAAAAGAAAGGTTAAACTATGTGAGTTGAACGCACACATCACAAAGAATTTTCTGAGAATGATTCTGTCTGGTTTTTATTTGAAGATATTTCCCTTTCTACTGTTGGCATCAAATGGCTAGAAATCTCCACTTGCAAATTCCGCAAAAAGAGTGTTTCAAATCTGCTCTGTCTAAAGGGACGTTCCACTCTGTGAGTTGAATGCACACAACACAAAGAATTTACTGAGAATTCTTCCGTCTAGCATTCAATGAAGAAATCCCGTTTCCAACGAAGGCCTCAAACAGGTCCATATATCCAATTGCAGACTTTACAAACAGTGTGTTTCCAAACTCCTCTATGAAAAGAAAGGTTAAACTCTGTGAGTTGAACGCACACATCACAAAGCACTTTCTGAGAATGATTCTGTCTGGTTATTATACGAAGATATTTCCTTTTCTGCAATTGTCCTCAAATCGCTTGAAATCTCCACCTGAAAATGCCACAGCAAGAGTGTTTCAAATCTGCTCTCTCTAAAGCAAGGTTCAACTCTGTGAGTTGAATACACACAACACAAAAAAGTTACTGAGAACTCTTCTTAGTCTAGCATGAAAGGAAGAAACCCCGTTTGCAACGAAGGCCTCAAAGAGGTCCAAATATCCACTTGCAGACATAACAAGCAGAGTGTTTCTAAACTGCTCTAAGAAAAGAAAGGTTAAACTCTGTGAGTTGAAGGCACACATCACAAAGTAGTTTCTGAGAATGATTCTGTCTAGTTTTTATTTGAAGATATTTCCTTTTCTACTGTTGGCATCAAATCGCTTGAAATCTCCACTTGCAAACTCCACAAAAAGAGTGTTTCAAATCTGCTCTGTGCAAAGGGACGTTCCACTCTGTGAGTTGAATACACACAGCACAAAGAAGTTACTGAGAATTCTTCTGTCTAGCATGAAATGAAGAAATCCCGTTTCCAATGAAGGCCTCAATGCGGTCCATATATCCACTTGCAGACTTTACAAACAGAGTGTTTCCAAACTGCTCTATGAAAAGAAAGGTTAAACTATGTGAGTTGAACGCACACATCACAAAGAATTTTCTGAGAATGATTCTGTCTAGTTTTTATTTGAAGATATTTCCCTTTGTACTGTTGGCATCAAATGGCTAGAAATCTCCACTTGCAACTTCCGCAAAAAGAGTGTTTCAAATCTGCTCTGTCTAAAGGGACGTTCCACTCTGTGAGTTGAATGCACACAACACAAAAAAGTTACTGAGAACTCTTCCGTCTAGCATTCAATGAAGAAATCCCGTTTCCAACGAAGGCCTCAAACAGGTCCATATATCCACTTGCAGACTTTACAAACAGTGTGTTTCCAAACTCCTCTATGAAAAGAAAGGTTAAACTCTGTGAGTGGAACGCACACATCACAAAGCACTTTCTGAGAATGATTCTGTCTGGTTGTTATACGAAGATATTTCCTTTTCTGCAATTGTCCTCAAATCGCTTGAAATCTCCACCTGAAAATGCCACAGCAAGAGTGTTTCAAATCTGCTCTCTCTAAAGCAAGGTTCAACTCTGTGAGTTGAATACACACAGCACAAAAAAGTTACTGAGAACTCTCTCTTAGTCTAGCATGAAAGGAAGAAACCCCGTTTGCAAGGAAGGCCTCAAAGAGGTCCAAATATCCACTTGCAGACATAACAAGCAGAGTGTTTCTAAACTGCTCTAAGAAAAGAAAGGTTAAACTCTGTGAGTTGAGGGCACACATCACAAAGAAGTTTCTGAGAATGATTCTGTCTAGTTTTTATTTGAAGATATTTCCTTTTCTACTGTTGGCATCAAATCGCTTGAAATCTCCACTTGCAAACTCCACAAAAAGAGTGTTTCAAATCTGCTCTGTGCAAAGGGAAGTTCCACTCTGTGAGTTGAATACACACAGCACAAAGAAGTTACTGAGAATTCTTCTGTCTAGTATGAAATGAAGAAATCCCGTTTCCAACGAAAGCCTCAATGCGGTCCATATATCCACTTGCAGACTTTACAAACAGAGTGTTTCCAAACTGCTCTATGAAAAGAAAGGTTAAACTATGTGAGTTGAACGCACACATCACAAAGAATTTTCTGAGAATGATTCTGTCTGGTTTTTATTTGAAGATATTTCCCTTTCTACTGTTGGCATCAAATGGCTAGAAATCTCCACTTGCAAATTCCGCAAAAAGAGTGTTTCAAATCTGCTCTGTCTAAAGGGACGTTCCACTCTGTCAGTTGAATGCACACAACACAAAGAATTTATTGAGAATTCTTCCGTCTAGCATTCAATGAAGAAATCCCGTTTCCAACGAAGGCCTCAAACAGGTCCATATATCCAATTGCAGACTTTACAAACAGTGTGTTTCCAAACTCCTCTATGAAAAGAAAGATTAAACTCTGTGAGTTGAACGCACACATCACAAAGCACTTTCTGAGAATGATTCTGTCTGGTTATTATACGAAGATATTTCCTTTTCTGCAATTGTCCTCAAATCGCTTGAAATCTCCACCTGAAAATGCCACAGCAAGAGTGTTTCAAATCTGCTCTCTCTAAAGCAAGGTTCAACTCTGTGAGTTGAATACACACAACACAAAAAAGTTACTGAGAACTCTTCTTAGTCTAGCATGAAAGGAAGAAACCCCGTTTGCAACGAAGGCCTCAAAGAGGTCCAAATATCCACTTGCAGACATAACAAGCAGAGTGTTTCTAAACTGCTCTAAGAAAAGAAAGGTTAAACTCTGTGAGTTGAAGGCACACATCACAAAGTAGTTTCTGAGAATGATTCTGTCTAGTTTTTATTTGAAGATATTTCCTTTTCTACTGTTGGCATCAAATCGCTTGAAATCTCCACTTGCAAATTCCACAAAAAGAGTGTTTCAAATCTGCTCTGTGCAAAGGGACGTTCCACTCTGTGAGTTGAATACACACAGCACAAAGAAGTTACTGAGAATTCTTCTGTCTAGCATGAAATGAAGAAATCCCGTTTCCAACGAAGGCCTCAATGCGGTCCATATATCCACTTGCAGACTTTACAAACAGAGTGTTTCCAAACTGCTCTATGAAAAGAAAGGTTAAACTATGTGAGTTGAACGCACACATCACAAAGAATTTTCTGAGAATGATTCTGTCTGGTTTTTATTTGAAGATATTTCCCTTTCTACTGTTGGCATCAAATGGCTAGAAATCTCCACTTGCAAATTCCGCAAAAAGAGTGTTTCAAATCTGCTCTGTCTAAAGGGACGTTCCACTCTGTCAGTTGAATGCACACAACACAAAGAATTTACTGAGAATTCTTCCGTCTAGCATTCAATGAAGAAATCCCGTTTCCAACGAAGGCCTCAAACAGGTCCATATATCCACTTGCAGACTTTACAAACAGTGTGTTTCCAAACTCCTCTATGAAAAGAAAGGTTAAACTCTGTGAGTGGA
Source organism: Homo sapiens (assembly GCF_000001405.40). NCBI lineage: Eukaryota > Metazoa > Chordata > Mammalia > Primates > Hominidae > Homo > Homo sapiens. The sequence goes on along the minus strand of NC_000007.14, from coordinate 60,778,014 downwards.
ACGCACACATCACAAAGCACTTTCTGAGAATGATTCTGTCTGGTTATTATACGAAGATATTTCCTTTTCTGCAATTGTCCTCAAAACGCTTGAAATCTCCACCTGAAAATGCCACAGCAAGAGTGTTTCAAATCTGCTCTCTCTAAAGCAAGGTTCAACTCTGTGAGTTGAATACACACAACACAAAAAAGTTACTGAGAACTCTTCTTAGTCTAGCATGAAAGGAAGAAACCCCGTTTGCAACGAAGGCCTCAAAGAGGTCCAAATATCCACTTGCAGACATAACAAGCAGAGTGTTTCTAAACTGCTCTAAGAAAAGAAAGGTTAAACTCTGTGAGTTGAAGGCACACATCACAAAGTAGTTTCTGAGAATGATTCTGTCTAGTTTTTATTTGAAGATATTTCCTTTTCTACTGTTGGCATCAAATCGCTTGAAATCTCCACTTGCAAACTCCACAAAAAGAGTGTTTCAAATCTGCTCTGTGCAAAGGGACGTTCCACTCTGTGAGTTGAATACACACAGCACAAAGAAGTTACTGAGAATTCTTCTGTCTAGCATGAAATGAAGAAATCCCGTTTCCAACGAAGGCCTCAAAGCGGTCCATATATCCACTTGCAGACATTACCAACAGAGTGTTCCCAAACTGCTCTATGAAAAGAAAGGTTAAACTATGTGAGTTGAACGCACACATCACAAAGAATTTTCTGAGAATGATTCTGTCTGGTTTTTATTTGAAGATATTTCCCTTTCTACTGTTGGCATCAAATGGCTAGAAATCTCCACTTGCAAATTCCGCAAAAAGAGTGTTTCAAATCTGCTCTGTCTAAAGGGACGTTCCACTCTGTGAGTTGAATGCACACAACACAAAGAATTTACTGAGAATTCTTCCGTCTAGCATTCAATGAAGAAATCCCGTTTCCAACGAAGGCCTCAAACAGGTCCATATATCCACTTGCAGACTTTACAAACAGTGTGTTTCCAAACTCCTCTATGAAAAGAAAGGTTAAACTCTGTGAGTTGAACGCACACATCACAAAGCACTTTCTGAGAATGATTCTGTCTGGTTATTATACGAAGATATTTCCTTTTCTGCAATTGTCCTCAAATCGCTTGAAATCTCCACCTGAAAATGCCACAGCAAGAGTGTTTCAAATCTGCTCTCTCTAAAGCAAGGTTCAACTCTGTGAGTTGAATACACACAACACAAAAAAGTTACTGAGAACTCTTCTTAGTCTAGCATGAAAGGAAGAAACCCCGTTTGCAACGAAGGCCTCAAAGAGGTCCAAATATCCACTTGCAGACATAACAAGCAGAGTGTTTCTAAACTGCTCTAAGAAAAGAAAGGTTGAACTCTGTGAGTTGAAGGCACACATCACAAAGTAGTTTCTGAGAATGATTCTGTCTAGTTTTTATTTGAAGATATTTCCTTTTCTACTGCTGGCATCAAATCGCTTGAAATCTCCACTTGCAAACTCCACAAAAAGAGTGTTTCAAATCTGCTCTGTGTAAAGGGACGTTCCACTCTGTGAGTTGAATACACACAGCACAAAGAAGTTACTGAGAATTCTTCTGTCTAGCATGAAATGAAGAAATCCCGTTTCCAACGAAGGCCTCAATGCGGTCCATATATCCACTTGCAGACTTTACAAACAGAGTGTTTCCAAACTGCTCTATGAAAAGAAAGGTTAAACTATGTGAGTTGAACGCACACATCACAAAGAATTTTCTGAGAATGATTCTGTCTGGTTTTTATTTGAAGATATTTCCCTTTCTACTGTTGGCATCAAATGGCTAGAAATCTCCACTTGCAAATTCCGCAAAAAGAGTGTTTCAAATCTGCTCTGTCTAAAGGGACGTTCCACTCTGTGAGTTGAATGCACACAACACAAAGAATTTACTGAGAATTCTTCCGTCTAGCATTCAATGAAGAAATCCCGTTTCCAACGAAGGCCTCAAACAGGTCCATATATCCACTTGCAGAGTTTACAAACAGTTTGTTTCCAAACTCCTCTATGAAAAGAAAGGTTAAACTCTGTGAGTGGAACGCACACATCACAAAGCACTTTCTGAGAATGATTCTGTCTGGTTATTATACGAAGATATTTCCTTTTCTGCAATTGTCCTCAAATCGCTTGAAATCTCCACCTGAAAATGCCACAGCAAGAGTGTTTCAAATCTGCTCTCTCTAAAGCAAGGTTCAACTCTGTGAGTTGAATACACACAACACAAAAAAGTTACTGAGAACTCTTCTTAGTCTAGCATGAAAGGAAGAAACCCCGTTTGCAACGAAGGCCTCAAAGAGGTCCAAATATCCACTTGCAGACATAACAAGCAGAGTGTTTCTAAACTGCTCTAAGAAAAGAAAGGTTAAACTCTGTGAGTTGAAGGCACACATCACAAAGTAGTTTCTGAGAATGATTCTGTCTAGTTTTTATTTGAAGATATTTCCTTTTCTACTGTTGGCATCAAATCGCTTGAAATCTCCATTTGCAAACTCCACAAAAAGAGTGTTTCAAATCTGCTCTGTGTAAAGGGACGTTCCACTCTGTGAGTTGAATACACACAGCACAAAGAAGTTACTGAGAATTCTTCTGTCTCGCATGAAATGAAGAAATCCCGTTTCCAACGAAGGCCTCAATGCGGTCCATATATCCACTTGCAGACTTTACAAACAGAGTGTTTCCAAACTGCTCTATGAAAAGAAAGGTTAAACTATGTGAGTTGAACGCACACATCACAAAGAATTTTCTGAGAATGATTCTGTCTGGTTTTTATTTGAAGATATTTCCCTTTCTACTGTTGGCATCAAATGGCTAGAAATCTCCACTTGCAAATTCCGCAAAAAGAGTGTTTCAAATCTGCTCTGTCTAAAGGGACGTTCCACTCTGTGAGTTGAATGCACACAACACAAAGAATTTACTGAGAATTCTTCCGTCTAGCATGCAATGAAGAAATCCCGTTTCCAACGAAGGCCTCAAACAGGTCCATATATCCAATTGCAGACTTTACAAACAGTGTGTTTCCAAACTCCTCTATGAAAAGAAAGGTTAAACTCTGTGAGTTGAACGCACACATCACAAAGCACTTTCTGAGAATGATTCTGTCTGGTTATTATACGAAGATATTTCCTTTTCTGCAATTGTCCTCAAATCGCTTGAAATCTCCACCTGAAAATTCCACAGCGAGAGTGTTTCAAATCTGCTCTCTCTAAAGCAAGGTTCAACTCTGTGAGTTGAATACACACAACACAGAAAAGTTACTGAGAACTCTTCTTAGTCTAGCATGAAAGGAAGAAACCCCGTTTGCAACGAAGGCCTCAAAGAGGTCCAAATATCCACTTGCAGACATAACAAGCAGAGTGTTTCTAAACTGCTCTAAGAAAAGAAAGGTTAAACTCTGTGAGTTGAAGGCAGACATCACAAAGTAGTTTCTGAGAATGATTCTGTCTAGTTTTTATTTGAAGATATTTCCTTTTCTACTATTGGCATCAAATCGCTTGAAATCTCCACTTGCAAACTCCACAAAAAGAGTGTTTCAAATCTGCTCTGTGCAAAGGGACGTTCCACTCTGTGAGTTGAATACACACAGCACAAAGAAGTTACTGAGAATTCTTCTGTCTAGCATGAAATGAAGAAATCCCGTTTCCAACGAAGGCCTCAATGCGGTCCATATATCCACTTGCAGACTTTACAAACAGAGTGTTTCCAAACTGCTCTATGAAAAGAAAGGTTAAACTATGTGAGTTGAACGCACACATCACAAAGAATTTTCTGAGAATGATTCTGTCTGGTTTTTATTTGAAGATATTTCCCTTTCTACTGTTGGCATCAAATGGCTAGAAATCTCCACTTGCAAATTCCGCAAAAAGAGTGTTTCAAATCTGCTCTGTCTAAAGGGACGTTCCACTCTGTGAGTTGAATGCACACAACACAAAGAATTTACTGAGAATTCTTCCGTCTAGCATTCAATGAAGAAATCCCGTTTCCAACGAAGGCCTCAAACAGGTCCATATATCCAATTGCAGACTTTACAAACAGTGTGTTTCCAAACTCCTCTATGAAAAGAAAGGTTAAACTCTGTGAGTTGAACGCACACATCACAAAGCACTTTCTGAGAATGATTCTGTCTGGTTATTATACGAAGATATTTCCTTTTCTGCAATTGTCCTCAAATCGCTTGAAATCTCCACCTGAAAATGCCACAGCAAGAGTGTTTCAAATCTGCTCTCTCTAAAGCAAGGTTCAACTCTGTGAGTTGAATACACACAACACAAAAAAGTTACTGAGAACTCTTCTTAGTCTAGCATGAAAGGAAGAAACCCCGTTTGCAACGAAGGCCTCAAAGAGGTCCAAATATCCACTTGCAGACATAACAAGCAGAGTGTTTCTAAACTGCTCTAAGAAAAGAAAGGTTAAACTCTGTGAGTTGAAGGCACACATCACAAAGTAGTTTCTGAGAATGATTCTGTCTAGTTTTTATTTGAAGATATTTCCTTTTCTACTGTTGGCATCAAATCGCTTGAAATCTCCACTTGCAAACTCCACAAAAAGAGTGTTTCAAATCTGCTCTGTGCAAAGGGACGTTCCACTCTGTGAGTTGAATACACACAGCACAAAGAAGATACTGAGAATTCTTCTGTCTAGCATGAAATGAAGAAATCCCGTTTCCAACGAAGGCCTCAATGCGGTCCATATATCCACTTGCAGACTTTACAAACAGAGTGTTTCCAAACTGCTCTATGAAAAGAAAGGTTAAACTATGTGAGTTGAACGCACACATCACAAAGAATTTTCTGAGAATGATTCTGTCTGCTTTTTATTTGAAGATATTTCCCTTTCTACTGTTGGCATCAAATGGCTAGAAATCTCCACTTGCAAATTCCGCAAAAAGAGTGTTTCAAATCTGCTCTGTCTAAAGGGACGTTCCACTCTGTGAGTTGAATGCACACAACACAAAGAATTTACTGAGAATTCTTCCGTCTAGCATTCAATGAAGAAATCCCGTTTCCAACGAAGGCCTCAAACAGGTCCATATATCCACTTGCAGACTTTACAAACAGTGTGTTTCCAAACTCCTCTATGAAAAGAAAGGTTAAACTCTGTGAGTTGAACGCACACATCACAAAGCACTTTCTGAGAATGATTCTGTCTGGTTATTATACGAAGATATTTCCTTTTCTGCAATTGTCCTCAAATCGCTTGAAATCTCCACCTGAAAATGCCACAGCAAGAGTGTTTCAAATCTGCTCTCTCTAAAGCAAGGTTCAACTCTGTGAGTTGAATACACACAACACAAAAAAGTTACTGAGAACTCTTCTTAGTCTAGCATGAAAGGAAGAAACCCCGTTTGCAACGAAGGCCTCAAAGAGGTCCAAATATCCACTTGCAGACATAACAAGCAGAGTGTTTCTAAACTGCTCTAAGAAAAGAAAGGTTAAACTCTGTGAGTTGAAGGCACACATCACAAAGTAGTTTCTGAGAATGATTCTGTCTAGTTTTTATTTGAAGATATTTCCTTTTCTACTGTTGGCATCAAATCGCTTGAAATCTCCACTTGCAAACTCCACAAAAAGAGTGTTTCAAATCTGCTCTGTGCAAAGGGACGTTCCACTCTGTGAGTTGAATACACACAGCACAAAGAAGTTACTGAGAATTCTTCTGTCTAGCATGAAATGAAGAAATCCCGTTTCCAACGAAGGCCTCAATGCGGTCCATAGATCCACTTGCAGACTTTACAAACAGAGTGTTTCCAAACTGCTCTATGAAAAGAAAGGTTAAACTCTGTGAGTTGAACGCACACATCACAAAGAATTTTCTGAGAATGATTCTGTCTGGTTTTTATTTGAAGATATTTCCCTTTCTACTGTTGGCATCAAATGGCTAGAAATCTCCACTTGCAAATTCCGCAAAAAGAGTGTTTCAAATCTGCTCTGTGTAAAGGGACGTTCCACTCTGTGAGTTCAATGCACACAACACAAAGAATTTACTGAGAATTCTTCCGTCTAGCATTCAATGAAGAAATCCCGTTTCCAACGAAGGCCTCAAACAGGTCCATATATCCACTTGCAGAGTTTACAAACAGTGTGTTTCCAAACTCCTCTATGAAAAGAAAGGTTAAACTCTGTGAGTGGAACGCACACATCACAAAGCACTTTCTGAGAATGATTCTGTCTGGTTATTATACGAAGATATTTCCTTTTCTGCAATTGTCCTCAAATCGCTTGAAATCTCCACCTGAAAATGCCACAGCAAGAGTGTTTCAAATCTGCTCTCTCTAAAGCAAGGTTCAACTCTGTGAGTTGAATACACACAACACAAAAAAGTTACTGAGAACTCTTCTTAGTCTAGCATGAAAGGAAGAAACCCCGTTTGCAACGAAGGCCTCAAAGAGGTCCAAATATCCACTTGCAGACATAACAAGCAGAGTGTTTCTAAACTGCTCTAAGAAAAGAAAGGGTAAACTCTGTGAGTTGAAGGCACACATCACAAAGTAGTTTCTGAGAATGATTCTGTCTAGTTTTTATTTGAAGATATTTCCTTTTCTACTGTTGGCATCAAATCGCTTGAAATCTCCACTTGCAAATTCCACAAAAAGAGCGTTTCAAATCTGCTCTGTGCAAAGGGACGTTCCACTCTGTGAGTTGAATACACACAGCACAAAGAAGTTACTGAGAATTCTTCTGTCTAGCATGAAATGAAGAAATCCCGTTTCCAACGAAGGCCTCAATGCGGTCCATATATCCACTTGCAGACTTTGCAAACAGAGTGTTTCCAAACTGCTCTATGAAAAGAAAGTTTAAACTATGTGATTTGAACGCACACATCACAAAGAATTTTCTGAGAATGATTCTGTCTGGTTTTTATTTGAAGATATTTCCCTTTCTACTGTTGGCATCAAATGGCTAGAAATCTCCACTTGCAAATTCCGCAAAAAGAGTGTTTCAAATCTGCTCTGTCTAAAGGGACGATCCACTCTGTGAGTTGAATGCACACAACACAAAGAATTTACTGAGAATTCTTCCGTCTAGCATTCAATGAAGAAATCCCGTTTCCAACGAAGGCCTCAAACAGGTCCATATATCCACTTGCAGAGTTTACAAACAGTGTGTTTCCAAACTCCTCTATGAAAAGAAAGGTTAAACTCTGTGAGTGGAACGCACACATCACAAAGCACTTTCTGAGAATGATTCTGTCTGGTTATTATACGAAGATATTTCCTTTTCTGCAATTGTCCTCAAATCGCTTGAAATCTCCACCTGAAAATGCCACAGCAAGAGTGTTTCAAATCTGCTCTCTCTAAAGCAAGGTTCAACTCTGTGAGTTGAATACACACAACACAAAAAAGTTACTGAGAACTCTTCTTAGTCTAGCATGAAAGGAAGAAACCCCGTTTGCAACGAAGGCCTCAAAGAGGTCCAAATATCCACTTGCAGACATAACAAGCAGAGTGTTTCTAAACTGCTCTAAGAAAAGAAAGGTTAAACTCTGTGAGTTGAAGGCACACATCACAAAGTAGTTTCTGAGAATGATTCTGTCTAGTTTTTATTTGAAGATATTTCTTTTTCTACTGTTGGCATCAAATCGCTTGAAATCTCCACTTGCAAATTCCACAAAAAGAGTGTTTCAAATCTGCTCTGTGTAAAGGGACGTTCCACTCTGTGAGTTGAATACACACAGCACAAAGAAGTTACTGAGAATTCTTCTGTCTAGCATGAAATGAAGAAATCCCGTTTCCAACGAAGGCCTCAATGCGGTCCATATATCCACTTGCAGACTTTACAAACAGAGTGTTTCCAAACTGCTCTATGAAAAGAAAGGTTAAACTATGTGAGTTGAACGCACACATCACAAAGAATTTTCTGAGAATGATTCTGTCTGGTTTTTATTTGAAGATATTTCCCTTTCTACTGTTGGCATCAAATGGCTAGAAATCTCCACTTGCAAATTCCGCAAAAAGAGTGTTTCAAATCTGCTCTGTCTAAAGGGACGTTCCACTCTGTGAGTTGAATGCACACAACACAAAGAATTTACTGAGAATTCTTCCGTCTAGCATTCAATGAAGAAATCCCGTTTCCAACGAAGGCCTCAAACAGGTCCATATATCCACTTGCAGACTTTACAAACAGTGTGTTTCCAAACTCCTCTATGAAAAGAAAGGTTAAACTCTGTGAGTGGAACGCACACATCACAAAGCACTTTCTGAGAATGATTCTGTCTGGTTATTATACGAAGATATTTCCTTTTCTGCAATTGTCCTCAAATCGCTTGAAATCTCCACCTGAAAATGCCACAGCAAGAGTGTTTCAAATCTGCTCTCTCTAAAGCAAGGTTCAACTCTGTGAGTTGAATACACACAACACAAAAAAGTTACTGAGAACTCTTCTTAGTCTAGCATTAAAGGAAGAAACCCCGTTTGCAACGAAGGCCTCAAAGAGGTCCAAATATCCACTTGCAGACATAACAAGCAGAGTGTTTCTAAACTGCTCTAAGAAAAGAAAGGTTAAACTCTGTGAGTTGAAGGCACACATCACAAAGTAGTTTCTGAGAATGATTCTGTCTAGTTTTTATTTGAAGATATATCCTTTTCTACTGTTGGCATCAAATCGCTTCAAATCTCCACTTGCAAACTCCACAAAAAGAGTGTTTCAAATCTGCTCTGTGTAAAGGGATGTTCCACTCTGTGAGTTGAATACACACAGCACAAAGAAGTTACTGAGAATTCTTCTGTCTAGCATGAAATTAAGAAATTCCGTTTCCAACGAAGTCCTCAAAGCGGTCCATATATCCACTTGCAGACATTACCAACAGAGTGTTTCCAAACTGGTCTATGAAAAGAAAGGTTAAACTATGTGAGTTGAACGCACACATCACAAAGAATTTTCTGAGGATGATTCTGTCTGGTTTTTATTTGAAGATATTTCCCTTTCTACTGTTGGCATCAAATGGCTAGAAATCTCCACTTGCAAATTCCGCAAAAAGAGTGTTTCAAATCTGCTCTGTCTAAAGGGACGTTCCACTCTGTGAGTTGAATGCACACAACACAAAGAATTTACTGAGAATTCTTCCGTCTAGCATTCAATGAAGAAATCCCGTTTCCAACGAAGGCCTCAAACAGGTCCATATATCCACTTGCAGACTTTACAAACAGTGTGTTTCCAAACTCCTCTATGAAAAGAAAGGTTAAACTCTGTGAGTGGAACGCACACATCACAAAGCACTTTCTGAGAATGATTCTGTCTGGTTATTATACGAAGATATTTCCTTTTCTGCAATTGTCCTCAAATCGCTTGAAATCTCCACCTGAAAATGCCACAGCAAGAGTGTTTCAAATCTGCTCTCTCTAAAGCAAGGTTCAACTCTGTGAGTTGAATACACACAACACAAAAAAGTTACTGAGAACTCTTCTTAGTCTAGCATGAAAGGAAGAAACCCCGTTTGCAACGAAGGCCTCAAAGAGGTCCAAATATCCACTTGCAGACATAACAAGCAGAGTGTTTCTAAACTGCTCTAAGAAAAGAAAGGTTAAACTCTGTGAGTTGAAGGCACACATCACAAAGTAGTTTCTGAGAATGATTCTGTCTAGTTTTTATTTGAAGATATTTCCTTTTCTACTGTTGGCATCAAATCGCTTGAAATCTCCACTTGCAAACTCCACAAAAAGAGTGTTTCAAATCTGCTCTGTGTAAAGGGACGTTCCACTCTGTGAGTTGAATACACACAGCACAAAGAAGTTACTGAGAATTCTTCTGTCTAGCAGGAAATGAAGAAATCCCGTTTCCAACGAAGGCCTCAATGCGGTCCATATATCCACTTGCAGACTTTACAAACAGAGTGTTTCCAAACTGCTCTATGAAAAGAAAGGTAAAACTATGTGAGTTGAACGCACACATCACAAAGAATTTTCCTGAGAATGATTCTGTCTGGTTTTTATTTGAAGATATTTCCCTTTCTACTGTTGGCATCAAATGGCTAGAAATCTCCACTTGCAAATTCCGCAAAAAGAGTGTTTCAAATCTGCTCTGTCTAAAGGGACGTTCCACTCTGTCAGTTGAATGCACACAACACAAAGAATTTACTGAGAATTCTTCCGTCTAGCATTCAATGAAGAAATCCCGTTTCCAACGAAGGCCTCAAACAGGTCCATATATCCACTTGCAGACTTTACAAACAGTGTGTTTCCAAACTCCTCTATGAAAAGAAAGGTTAAACTCTGTGAGTGGAACGCACACATCACAAAGCACTTTCTGAGAATGATTCTGTCTGGTTATTATACGAAGATATTTCCTTTTCTGCAATTGTCCTCAAATCGCTTGAAATCTCCACCTGAAAATGCCACAGCAAGAGTGTTTCAAATCTGCTCTCTCTAAAGCAAGGTTCAACTCTGTGAGTTGAATACACACAACACAAAAAAGTTACTGAGAACTCTTCTTAGTCTAGCATGAAAGGAAGAAACCCCGTTTGCAACGAAGGCCTCAAAGAGGTCCAAATATCCACTTGCAGACATAACAAGCAGAGTGTTTCTAAACTGCTCTAAGAAAAGAAAGGTTAAACTCTGTGAGTTGAAGGCACACATCACAAAGTAGTTTCTGAGAATGATTCTGTCTAGTTTTTATTTGAAGATATTTCCTTTTCTACTGTTGGCATCAAATCGCTTGAAATCTCCACTTGCAAATTCCACAAAAAGGTGTTTCAAATCTGCTCTGTGCAAAGGGACGTTCCACTCTGTGAGTTGAATACACACAGCACAAAGAAGTTACTGAGAATTCTTCTGTCTAGCATGAAATGAAGAAATCCCGTTTCCAACGAAGGCCTCAATGCGGTCCATATATCCACTTGCAGACTTACAAACAGAGTGTTTCCAAACTGCTCTATGAAAAGAAAGGTTAAACTATGTGAGTTGAACGCACACATCACAAAGAATTTTCTGAGAATGATTCTGTCTGGTTTTTATTTGAAGATATTTCCCTTTCTACTGTTGGCATCAAATGGCTAGAAATCTCCACTTGCAAATTCCGCAAAAAGAGTGTTTCAAATCTGCTCTGTCTAAAGGGACGTTCCACTCTGTGAGTTGAATGCACACAACACAAAGAATTTACTGAGAATTCTTCCGTCTAGCATTCAATGAAGAAATCCCGTTTCCAACGAAGGCCTCAAACAGGTCCATATATCCAATTGCAGACTTTACAAACAGTGTGTTTCCAAACTCCTCAATGAAAAGAAAGGTTAAACTCTGTGAGTTGAACGCACACATCACAAAGCACTTTCTGAGAATGATTCTGTCTGGTTATTATACGAAGATATTTCCTTTTCTGCAATTGTCCTCAAATCGCTTGAAATCTCCACCTGAAAATGCCACAGCAAGAGTGTTTCAAATCTGCTCTCTCTAAAGCAAGGTTCAACTCTGTGAGTTGAATACACACAACACAAAAAAGTTACTGAGAACTCTTCTTAGTCTAGCATGAAAGGAAGAAACCCCGTTTGCAACGAAGGCCTCAAAGAGGTCCAAATATCCACTTGCAGACATAACAAGCAGAGTGTTTCTAAACTGCTCTAAGAAAAGAAAGGTTAAACTCTGTGAGTTGAAGGCACACATCACAAAGTAGTTTCTGAGAATGATTCTGTCTAGTTTTTATTTGAAGATATTTCCTTTTCTACTGTTGGCATCAAATCGCTTGAAATCTCCACTTGCAAACTCCACAAAAAGAGTGTTTCAAATCTGCTCTGTGTAAAGGGACGTTCCACTCTGTGAGTTGAATACACACAGCACAAAGAAGTTACTGAGAATTCTTCTGTCTAGCATTCAATGAAGAAATCCCGTTTCCAAGGAATGCCTCAAAGCGGTACATATATCCACTTGCAGATTTTACAGTGTGTTTCGAAACTGCTCTATGAAAAGAAAGGTTAAACCATGTGAGCTGAACGCACACATCACAAAGAATTTTCTGAGAATGATTCTGTCTAGTTTTTATTTGAAGATATTTCCTTTTCAACTGTTGGCATCAAATCGCTTGAATTCTCCACTTTTAAATTCCACAAAAAGAGTGTTTCAAAACTGCTCTATGTAATGGGATATTCCAATCTGTCAGTTGAATACACACAACACAAAGAAGTTACTGAGAATTCTTCTGTCTAGCATGAAATTAAGAAATCCCGTTTCCAACGAAGTCCTCAAAGCGGTCCATATATCCACTTGCAGATATTACCAACAGAGTGTTTCCAGACTTGTCTATGAAAAGAAAGGTTAAACTATGTGAGTTGAACGCACACATCACAAAGAATTTTCTGAGGATGATTCTGTCTGGTTATTATACGAAGATATTTCCTTTTCTGCAATTGTCCTCAAAACGCTTGAAATCTCCACCTGAAAATGCCACAGCAAGAGTGTTTCAAATCTGCTCTCTCTAAAGCAAGGTTCAACTCTGTGAGTTGAATACACACAACACAAAAAAGTTACTGAGAACTCTTCTTAGTCTAGCATGAAAGGAAGAAACCCCGTTTGCAACGAAGGCCTCAAAGAGGTCCAAATATCCACTTGCAGACATAACAAGCAGAGTGTTTCTAAACTGCTCTAAGAAAAGAAAGGTTAAACTCTGTGAGTTGAAGGCACACATCACAAAGTAGTTTCTGAGAATGATTCTGTCTAGTTTTTATTTGAAGATATTTCCTTTTCTACTGTTGGCATCAAATCGCTTGAAATCTCCACTTGCAAATTCCACAAAAAGAGTGTTTCAAATCTGCTCTGTGCAAAGGGACGTTCCACTCTGTGAGTTGAATACACACAGCACAAAGAAGTTACTGAGAATTCTCTGTCTAGCATGAAATGAAGAAATCCCGTTTCCAACGAAGGCCTCAATGCGGTCCATATATCCACTTGCAGACTTTACAAACAGAGTGTTCCCAAACTGCTCTATGAAAAGAAAGGTTAAACTATGTGAGTTGAACGCACACATCACAAAGAATTTTCTGAGAATGATTCTGTCTGGTTTTTATTTGAAGATATTTCCCTTTCTACTGTTGGCATCAAATGGCTAGAAATCTCCACTTGCAAATTCCGCAAAAAGAGTGTTTCAAATCTGCTCTGTCTAAAGGGACGTTCCACTCTGTGAGTTGAATGCACACAACACAAAGAATTTACTGAGAATTCTTCCGTCTAGCATTCAATGAAGAAATCCCGTTTCCAACGAAGGCCTCAAACAGGTCCATATATCCACTTGCAGACTTTACAAACAGTGTGTTTCCAAACTCCTCTATGAAAAGAAAGGTTAAACTCTGTGAGTGGAACGCACACATCACAAAGCACTTTCTGAGAATGATTATCTGTCTGGTTGTTATACGAAGATATTTCCTTTTCTGCAATTGTCCTCAAATCGCTTGAAATCTCCACCTGAAAATACCACAGCAAGAGTGTTTCAAATCTGCTCTCTCTAAAGCAAGGTTCAACTCTGTGAGTTGAATACACACAACACAAAAAAGTTACTGAGAACTCTTCTTAGTCTAGCATTAAAGGAAGAAACCCCGTTTGCAACGAAGGCCTCAAAGAGGTCCAAATATCCACTTGCAGACATAACAAGCAGAGTGTTTCTAAACTGCTCTAAGAAAAGAAAGGTTAAACTCTGTGAGTTGAAGGCACACATCACAAAGTAGTTTCTGAGAATGATTCTGTCTAGTTTTTATTTGAAGATATTTCCTTTTCTACTGTTGGCATCAAATCGCTTGAAATCTCCACTTGCAAACTCCACAAAAAGAGTGTTTCAAATCTGCTCTGTGCAAAGGGACGTTCCACTCTGTGAGTTGAATACACACAGCACAAAGAAGTTACTGAGAATTCTTCTGTCTAGCATGAAATGAAGAAATCCCGTTTCCAACGAAGGCCTCAATGCGGTCCATATATCCACTTGCAGACTTTACAAACAGAGTGTTTCCAAACTGCTCTATGAAAAGAAAGGTTAAACTATGTGAGTTGAACGCACACATCACAAAGAATTTTCTGAGAATGATTCTGTCTGGTTTTTATTTGAAGATATTTCCCTTTCTACTGTTGGCATCAAATGGCTAGAAATCTCCACTTGCAAATTCCACAAAAAGAGTGTTTCAAATCTGCTCTGTCTAAAGGGACGTTCCACTCTGTGAGTTGAATGCACACAACACAAAGAATTTACTGAGAATTCTTCCGTCTAGCATTCAATGAAGAAATCCCGTTTCCAACGAAGGCCTCAAACAGGTCCATATATCCACTTGCAGACGTTACAAACAGTGTGTTTCCAAACTCCTCTATGAAAAGAAAGGTTAAACTCTGTGAGTTGAACGCACACATCACAAAGCACTTTCTGAGAATGATTCTGTCTGGTTATTATACGAAGATATTTCCTTTTCTGCAATTGTCCTCAAATCGCTTGAAATCTCCACCTGAAAATGCCACAGCAAGAGTGTTTCAAATCTGCTCTCTCTAAAGCAAGGTTCAACTCTGTGAGTTGAATACACACAACACAAAAAAGTTACTGAGAACTCTTCTTAGTCTAGCATTAAAGGAAGAAACCCCGTTTGCAACGAAGGCCTCAAAGAGGTCCAAATATCCACTTGCAGACATAACAAGCAGAGTGTTTCTAAACTGCTCTAAGAAAAGAAAGGTTAAACTCTGTGAGTTGAAGGCACACATCACAAAGTAGTTTCTGAGAATGATTCTGTCTAGTTTTTATTTGAAGATATTTCCTTTTCTACTGTTGGCATCAGATCGCTTGAAATCTCCACTTGCAAATTCCACAAAAAGAGTGTTTCAAATCTGCTCTGTGCAAAGGGACGTTCCACTCTGTGAGTTCAATACACACAGCACAAAGAAGTTACTGAGAATTCTTCTGTCTAGCATGAAATGAAGAAATCCCGTTTCCAACGAAGGCCTCAATGCGGTCTATATATCCACTTGCAGACTTTACAAACAGAGTGTTTCCAAACTGCTCTATGAAAAGAAAGGTTAAACTATGTGAGTTGAACGCACACATCACAAAGAATTTTCTGAGAATGATTCTGTCTGGTTTTTATTTGAAGATATTTCCTTTTCTACTGTTGTCATCAAATCGCTTGAAATCTCCATTTGCAAATTCCAGACAAAGAGTGTTTCAAATCTGCTCTGTCTAAAAGGACGTTCCACTCTGTGAGTTGAATGCAGACAACACAAAGAATTTACTGAGAATTCTTCCGTCTAGCATTCAATGAAGAAATCCCGTTTCCAACGAAGGCCTCAAACAGGTCCATATATCCACTTGCAGACTTTACAAACAGTGTGTTTCCAAACTCCTCTATGAAAAGAAAGGTTAAACTCTGTGAGTGGAACGCACACATCACAAAGCACTTTCTGAGAATGATTCTGTCTGGTTATTATACGAAGATATTTCCTTTTCTGCAATTGTCCTCAAATCGCTTGAAATCTCCACCTGAAAATGCCACAGCAAGAGTGTTTCAAATCTGCTCTCTCTAAAGCAAGGTTCAACTCTGTGAGTTGAATACACACAACACAAAAAAGTTACTGAGAACTCTTCTTAGTCTAGCATGAAAGGAAGAAACCCCGTTTGCAACGAAGGCCTCAAAGAGGTCCAAATATCCACTTGCAGACATAACAAGCAGAGTGTTTCTAAACTGCTCTAAGAAAAGAAAGGTTAAACTCTGTGAGTTGAAGGCACACATCACAAAGTAGTTTCTGAGAATGATTCTGTCTAGTTTTTATTTGAAGATATTTCCTTTTCTACTGTTGGCATCAAATCGCTTGAAATCTCCACTTGCAAATTCCACAAAAAGAGTGTTTCAAATCTGCTCTGTGCAAAGGGACGTTCCACTCTGTGAGTTGAATACACACAGCACAAAGAAGTTACTGAGAATTCTTCTGTCTAGCATGAAATGAAGAAATCCCGTTTCCAACGAAGGCCTCAATGCGGTCCATATATCCACTTGCAGACTTTACAAACAGAGTGTTTCCAAACTGCTCTATGAAAAGAAAGGTTAAACTATGTGAGTTGAACGCACACATCACAAAGAATTTTCTGAGAATGATTCTGTCTGGTTTTTATTTGAAGATATTTCCCTTTCTACTGTTGGCATCAAATGGCTAGAAATCTCCACTTGCAAATTCCGCAAAAAGAGTGTTTCAAATCTGCTCTGTCTAAAGGGACGTTCCACTCTGTGAGTTGAATGCACACCACACAAAGAATTTACTGAGAATTCTTCCGTCTAGCATTCAATGAAGAAATCCCGTTTCCAACGAAGGCCTCAAACAGGTCCATATATCCAATTGCAGACTTTACAAACAGTGTGTTTCCAAACTCCTCTATGAAAAGAAAGGTTAAACTCTGTGAGTTGAACGCACACAACACAAAGCACTTTCTGAGAATGATTCTGTCTGGTTGTTATACGAAGATATTTCCTTTTCTGCAATTGTCCTCAAATCGCTTGAAATCTCCACCTGAAAATGCCACAGCAAGAGTGTTTCAAATCTGCTCTCTCTAAAGCAAGGTTCAGCTCTGTGAGTTGAATACACACAACACAAAAAAGTTACTGAGAACTCTTCTTAGTCTAGCATGAAAGGAAGAAACCCCGTTTGCAACGAAGGCCTCAAAGAAGGTCCAAATATCCACTTGCAGACATAACAAGCAGAGTGTTTCTAAACTGCTCTAAGAAAAGAAAGGTTAAACTCTGTGAGTTGAAGGCAGACATCACAAAGTAGTTTCTGAGAATGATTCTGTCTAGTTTTTATTTGAAGATATTTCCTTTTCTACTGTTGGCATCAAATCGCTTGAAATATCCACTTGCAAACTCCACAAAAAGAGTGTTTCAAATCTGCTCTGTGTAAAGGGACGTTCCACTCTGTGAGTTGAATACACACAGCACAAAGAAGTTACTGAGAATTCTTCTGTCTAGCATGAAATGAAGAAATCCCGTTTCCAACGAAGGCCTCAATGCGGTCCATATATCCACTTGCAGACTTTACAAACAGAGTGTTTCCAAACTGCTCTATGAAAAGAAAGGTTATACTATTGTGAGTTGAACGCACACATCACAAAGAATTTTCTGAGAATGATTCTGTCTGGTTTTTATTTGAAGATATTTCCCTTTCTACTGTTGGCATCAAATGGCTAGAAATCTCCACTTGCAAATTCCGCAAAAAGAGTGTTTCAAATCTGCTCTGTCTAAAGGGACGTTCCACTCTGTCAGTTGAATGCACACAACACAAAGAATTTACTGAGAATTCTTCCGTCTAGCATTCAATGAAGAAATCCCGTTTCCAACGAAGGCCTCAAACAGGTCCATATATCCACTTGCAGACTTTACAAACAGTGTGTTTCCAAACTCCTCTATGAAAAGAAAGGTTAAACTCTGTGAGTGGAACGCACACATCACAAAGCACTTTCTGAGAATGATTCTGTCTGGTTATTATACGAAGATATTTCCTTTTCTGCAATTGTCCTCAAATCGCTTGAAATCTCCACCTGAAAATGCCACAGCAAGAGTGTTTCAAATCTGCTCTCTCTAAAGCAAGGTTCAACTCTGTGAGTTGAATACACACAACACAAAAAAGTTACTGAGAACTCTTCTTAGTCTAGCATGAAAGGAAGAAACCCCGTTTGCAACGAAGGCCTCAAAGAGGTCCAAATATCCACTTGCAGACATAACAAGCAGAGTGTTTCTAAACTGCTCTAAGAAAAGAAAGGTTAAACTCTGTGAGTTGAAGGCACACATCACAAAGTAGTTTCTGAGAATGATTCTGTCTAGTTTTTATTTGAAGATATTTCCTTTTCTACTGTTGGCATCAAATCGCTTGAAATCTCCACTTGCAAACTCCACAAAAAGAGTGTTTCAAATCTGCTCTGTGTAAAGGGACGTTCCACTCTGTGAGTTGAATACACACAGCACAAAGAAGTTACTGAGAATTCTTCTGTCTAGCATGAAATGAAGAAATCCCGTTTCCAACGAAGGCCTCAATGCGGTCCATATATCCACTTGCAGACTTTACAAACAGAGTGTTTCCAAACTGCTCTATGAAAAGAAAGGTTAAACTATGTGAGTTGAACGCACACATCACAAAGAATTTTCTGAGAATGATTCTGTCTGGTTTTTATTTGAAGATATTTCCCTTTCTACTGTTGGCATCAAATGGCTAGAAATCTCCACTTGCAAATTCCGCAAAAAGAGTGTTTCAAATCTGCTCTGTCTAAAGGGACGTTCCACTCTGTCAGTTGAATGCACACAACACAAAGAATTTACTGAGAATTCTTCTGTCTAGCATTCAATGAAGAAATCCCGTTTCCAACGAATGCCTCAAAGCGGTCCATATATCCACTTGCAGACTTTACAAACAGTGTGTTTCCAAACTCCTCTATGAAAAGAAAGGTTAAACTCTGTGAGTTGAACGCACACATCACAAAGCACTTTCTGAGAATGATTCTGTCTGGTTATTATACGAAGATATTTCCTTTTCTGCAATTGTCCTCAAATCGCTTGAAATCTCCACCTGAAAATGCCACAGCAAGAGTGTTTCAAATCTGCTCTCTCTAAAGCAAGGTTCAACTCTGTGAGTTGAATACACACAACACAAAAAAGTTACTGAGAACTCTTCTTAGTCTAGCATTAAAGGAAGAAATCCCGTTTGCAACGAAGGCCTCAAAGAGGTCCAAATATCCACTTGCAGACATAACAAGCAGAGTGTTTCTAAACTGCTCTAAGAAAAGAAAGGTTAAACTCTGTGAGTTGAAGGCACACATCACAAAGTCGTTTCTGAGAATGATTCTGTCTAGTTTTTATTTGAAGATATTTCCTTTTCTACTGTTGGCATCAAATCGCTTGAAATCTCCACTTGCAAATTCCACAAAAAGAGTGTTTCAAATCTGCTCTGTGCAAAGGGACGTTCCACTCTGTGAGTTGAATACACACAGCACAAAGAAGTTACTGAGAATTCTTCTGTCTAGCATGAAATGAAGAAATCCCGTTTCCAACGAAGGCCTCAATGCGGTCCATATATCCACTTGCAGACTTTACAAACAGAGTGTTTCCAAACTGCTCTATGAAAAGAAAGGTTAAACTATGTGAGTTGAACGCACACATCACAAAGAATTTTCTGAGAATGATTCTGTCTGGTTTTTATTTGAAGATATTTCCCTTTCTACTGTTGGCATCAAATGGCTAAAAATCTCCACTTGCAAATTCCGCAAAAAGAGTGTTTCAAATCTGCTCTGTCTAAAGGGACGTTCCACTCTGTCAGTTGAATGCACACAACACAAAGAATTTACTGAGAATTCTTCCGTCTAGCATTCAATGAAGAAATCCCGTTTCCAACGAAGGCCTCAAACAGGTCCATATATCCAATTGCAGACTTTACAAACAGTGTGTTTACAAACTCCTCAATGAAAAGAAAGGTTAAACTCCGTGAGTTGAATGCACACATCACAAAGCACTTTCTGAGAATGATTCTGTCTGGTTGTTATACGAAGATATTTCCTTTTCTGCAATTGTCCTCAAATCGCTTGAAATCTCCACCTGAAAATGCCACAGCAAGAGTGTTTCAAATCTGCTCTCTCTAAAGCAAGGTTCAGCTCTGTGAGTTGAATACACACAACACAAAAAAGTTACTGAGAACTCTTCTTAGTCTAGCATGAAAGGAAGAAACCCCGTTTGCAACGAAGGCCTCAAAGAGGTCCAAATATCCACTTGCAGACATAACAAGCAGAGTGTTTCTAAACTGCTCTAAGAAAAGAAAGGTTAAACTCTGTGAGTTGAAGGCACACATCACAAAGTAGTTTCTGAGAATGATTCTGTCTAGTTTTTATTTGAAGATATTTCCTTTTCTACTGTTGGCATCAAATCGCTTGAAATCTCCACTTGCAAATTCCACAAAAAGAGTGTTTCAAATCTTCTCTGTGTAAAGGAACGTTCCACTCTGTGAGTTGAATACACACAGCACAAAGAAGTTACTGAGAATTCTTCTGTCTAGCATGAAATGAAGAAATCCCGTTTCCAACGAAGGCCTCAATGCGGTCCATATATCCACTTGCAGACTTTACAAACAGAGTGTTTCCAAACTGCTCTATGAAAAGAAAGGTTAAACTATGTGAGTTGAACGCACACATCACAAAGAATTTTCTGAGAATGATTCTGTCTGGTTTTTATTTGAAGATATTTCCCTTTCTACTGTTGGCATCAAATGGCTAGAAATCTCCACTTGCAAATTCCGCAAAAAGAGTGTTTCAAATCTGCTCTGTCTAAAGGGACGTTCCACTCTGTGAGTTGAATGCACACCACACAAAGAATTTACTGAGAATTCTTCCGTCTAGCATTCAATGAAGAAATCCCGTTTCCAACGAAGGCCTCAAACAGGTCCATATATCCACTTGCAGACTTTACAAACAGTGTGTTTCCAAACTCCTCTATGAAAAGAAAGGTTAAACTCTGTGAGTGGAACGCACACATCACAAAGCACTTTCTGAGAATGATTCTGTCTGGTTGTTATACGAAGATATTTCCTTTTCTGCAATTGTCCTCAAATCGCTTGAAATCTCCACCTGAAAATGCCACAGCAAGAGTGTTTCAAATCTGCTCTCTCTAAAGCAAGGTTCAACTCTGTGAGTTGAATACACACAACACAAAAAAGTTACTGAGAACTCTTCTTAGTCTAGCATGAAAGGAAGAAACCCCGTTTGCAACGAAGGCCTCAAAGAGGTCCAAATATCCACTTGCAGACA
Source organism: Homo sapiens (assembly GCF_000001405.40). Lineage (NCBI taxonomy): Eukaryota > Metazoa > Chordata > Mammalia > Primates > Hominidae > Homo > Homo sapiens. Next base: position 60,757,294 of record NC_000007.14, on the reverse strand, counting down.
TAACAAGCAGAGTGTTTCTAAACTGCTCTAAGAAAAGAAAGGTTAAACTCTGTGAGTTGAAGGCACACATCACAAAGTAGTTTCTGAGAATGGTTCTGTCTAGTTTTTATTTGCAGATATTTCCTTTTCTACTGTTGGCATCAAATCGCTTGAAATCTCCACTTGCAAATTCCACAAAAAGAGTGTTTCAAATCTGCTCTGTGTAAAGGGACGTTCCATTCTGTGAGTTGAATGCACACAACACAAAGAAGTTACTGAGAATTCTTCTGTCTAGCCTGAAATGAAGAAATCCCGTTTCCAACGAAGGCCTCAAAGCGGTCCATATATCCACTTGCAGACATTACCAACAGAGTGTTTCCAAACTGCTCTATGAAAAGAAAGGTTAAACTATGTGAGTTGAACGCACACATCACAAAGAATTTTCTGAGGATGATTCTGTCTAGTTTTTATTTGAAGATATTTCCCTTTCTACTGTTGGCATCAAATGGCTAGAAATCTCCACTTGCAAATTCCGCAAAAAGAGTGTTTCAAATGTGCTCTGTCTAAAGGGAAGTTCCACTCTGTGAGTTGAATGCACACAACACAAAGAATTTACTGAGAATTCTTCCGTCTAGCATTCAATGAAGAAATCCCGTTTCCAACGAAGGCCTCAAACAGGTCCATATATCCACTTGCAGACTTTACAAACAGTGTGTTTCCAAACTCCTCTATGAAAAGAAAGGTTAAACTCTGTGAGTTGAACGCACACATCACAAAGCACTTTCTGAGAATGATTCTGTCTGGTTATTATACGAAGATATTTCCTTTTCTGCAATTGTCCTCAAAACGCTTGAAATCTCCACCTGAAAATGCCACAGCAAGAGTGTTTCAAATCTGCTCTCTCTAAAGCAAGGTTCAACTCTGTGAGTTGAATACACACAACACAGAAAAGTTACTGAGAACTCTTCTTAGTCTAGCATGAAAGAAGAAACCCCGTTTGCAACGAAGGCCTCAAAGAGGTCCAAATATCCACTTGCAGACATAACAAGCAGAGTGTTTCTAAACTGCTCTAAGAAAAGAAAGGTTAAACTCTGTGAGTTGAAGGCACACATCACAAAGTAGTTTCTGAGAATGATTCTGTCTAGTTTTTATTTGAAGATATTTCCTTTTCTACTGTTGGCATCAAATCGCTTGAAATCTCCACTTGCAAACTCCACAAAAAGAGTGTTTCAAATCTGCTCTGTGCAAAGGGACGTTCCACTCTGTGAGTTGAATACACACAGCACAAAGAAGTTACTGAGAATTCTTCTGTCTAGCATGAAATGAAGAAATCCCGTTTCCAACGAAGGCCTCAATGCGGTCCATATATCCACTTGCAGACTTTACAAACAGAGTGTTTCCAAACTGCTCTATGAAAAGAAAGGTTAAACTATGTGAGTTGAACGCACACATCACAAAGAATTTTCTGAGAATGATTCTGTCTAGTTTTTATTTGAAGATATTTCCCTTTCTACTGTTGGCATCAAAAGGCTTGAAATCTCCATTTCCAAATTCCAGAAAAGGAGTGTTTCAAATCTGCTCTGTCTTTAGGGGGCGTTCCACTCTGTGAGTTGAATGCACACAACACAAAGAATTTACTGAGAATTCTTCCGTCTAGCATTCAATGAAGAAATCCCGTTTCCAACGAAGGCCTCAAACAGGTCCATATATCCAATTGCAGACTTTACAAACAGTGTGTTTCCAAACTCCTCTATGAAAAGAAAGGTTAAACTCTGTGAGTTGAACGCACACATCACAAAGCACTTTCTGAGAATGATTCTGTCTGGTTATTATACGAAGATATTTCCTTTTCTGCAATTGTCCTCAAATCGCTTGAAATCTCCACCTGAAAATGCCACAGCAAGAGTGTTTCAAATCTGCTCTCTCTAAAGCAAGGTTCAACTCTGTGAGTTGAATACACAGAACACAAAAAAGTTACTGAGAACTCTTCTTAGTCTAGCATGAAAGAAGAAACCCCGTTTGCAACGAAGGCCTCAAAGAGGTCCAAATATCCACTTGCAGACATAACAAGCAGAGTGTTTCTAAACTGCTCTAAGAAAAGAAAGGTTAAACTCTGTGAGTTGAAGGCACACATCACAAAGTAGTTTCTGAGAATGATTCTGTCTAGTTTTTATTTGAAGATATTTCCTTTTCTACTGTTGGCATCAAATCGCTTGAAATCTCCACTTGCAAATTCCACAAAAAGAGTGTTTCAAATCTGCTCTGTGCAAAGGGACGTTCCACTCTGTGAGTTGAATACACACAGCACAAAGAAGTTACTGAGAATTCTTCTGTCTAGCATGAAATGAAGAAATCCCGTTTCCAACGAAGGCCTCAATGCGGTCCATATATCCACTTGCAGACTTTACAAACAGAGTGTTTCCAAACTGCTCTATGAAAAGAAAGGTTAAACTATGTGAGTTGAACGCACACATCACAAAGAATTTTCTGAGAATGATTCTGTCTGGTTTTTATTTGAAGATATTTCCCTTTCTACTGTTGGCATCAAATGGCTAGAAATCTCCACTTGCAAATTCCGCAAAAAGAGTGTTTCAAATCTGCTCTGTCTAAAGGGACGTTCCACTCTGTGAGTTGAATGCACACAACACAAAGAATTTACTGAGAATTCTTCCGTCTAGCATTCAATGAAGAAATCCCGTTTCCAACGAAGGCCTCAAACAGGTCCATATATCCAATTGCAGACTTTACAAACAGTGTGTTTCCAAACTCCTCTATGAAAAGAAAGGTTAAACTCTGTGAGTTGAACGCACACATCACAAAGCACTTTCTGAGAATGATTCTGTCTGGTTATTATACGAAGATATTTCCTTTTCTGCAATTGTCCTCAAATCGCTTGAAATCTCCACCTGAAAATGCCACAGCAAGAGTGTTTCAAATCTGCTCTCTCTAAAGCAAGGTTCAACTCTGTGAGTTGAATACACACAACACAAAAAAGTTACTGAGAACTCTTCTTAGTCTAGCATGAAAGGAAGAAACCCCGTTTGCAACGAAGGCCTCAAAGAGGTCCAAATATCCACTTGCAGACATAACAAGCAGAGTGTTTCTAAACTGCTCTAAGAAAAGAAAGGTTAAACTCTGTGAGTTGAAGGCACACATCACAAAGTAGTTTCTGAGAATGATTCTGTCTAGTTTTTATTTGAAGATATTTCCTTTTCTACTGTTGGCATCAAATCGCTTGAAATCTCCACTTGCAAATTCCACAAAATGAGTGTTTCAAATCTGCTCTGTGTAAAGGAACGTTCCACTCTGTGAGTTGAGTACACACAGCACAAAGAAGTTACTGAGAATTCTTCTGTCTAGCATGAAATGAAGAAATCCCGTTTCCAACGAAGGCCTCAATGCGGTCCATATATCCACTTGCAGACTTTACAAACAGAGTGTTTCCAAACTGCTCTATGAAAAGAAAGGTTAAACTATGTGAGTTGAACGCACACATCACAAAGAATTTTCTGAGAATGATTCTGTCTGGTTTTTATTTGAAGATATTTCCCTTTCTACTGTTGGCATCAAATGGCTAGAAATCTCCACTTGCAAATTCCGCAAAAAGAGTTTTTCAAATCTGCTCTGTCTAAAGGGACGTTCCACTCTGTGAGTTGAATGCACACAACACAAAGAATTTACTGAGAATTCTTCCGTCTAGCATTCAATGAAGAAATCCCGTTTCCAACGAAGGCCTCAAACAGGTCCATATATCCAATTGCAGACTTTACAAACAGTGTGTTTCCAAACTCCTCTATGAAAAGAAAGGTTAAACTCTGTGAGTTGAACGCACACATCACAAAGCACTTTCTGAGAATGATTCTGTCTGGTTATTATACGAAGATATTTCCTTTTCTGCAATTGTCCTCAAATCGCTTGAAATCTCCACCTGAAAATTCCACAGCGAGAGTGTTTCAAATCTGCTCTCTCTAAAGCAAGGTTCAACTCTGTGAGTTGAATACACACAACACAAAAAAGTTACTGAGAACTCTTCTTAGTCTAGCATTAAAGGAAGAAACCCCGTTTGCAACGAAGGCCTCAAAGTAGGTCCAAATATCCACTTGCAGACATAACAAGCAGAGTGTTTCTAAACTGCTCTAAGAAAAGAAAGGTTAAACTCTGTGAGTTGAAGGCACACATCACAAAGTAGTTTCTGAGAATGATTCTGTCTAGTTTTTATTTGAAGATATTTCCTTTTCTACTGTTGGCATCAAATCGCTTGAAATCTCCACTTGCAAACTCCACAAAAAGAGTGTTTCAAATCTGCTCTGTGTAAAGGGACGTTCCACTCTGTGAGTTGAATACACACAGCACAAAGAAGTTACTGAGAATTCTTCTGTCTAGCATGAAATGAAGAAATCCCGTTTCCAACGAAGGCCTCAATGCGGTCCATATATCCACTTGCAGACTTTACAAACAGAGTGTTTCCAAACTGCTCTATGAAAAGAAAGGTTAAACTATGTGAGTTGAACGCACACATCACAAAGAATTTTCTGAGAATGATTCTGTCTGGTTTTTATTTGAAGATATTTCCCTTTCTACTGTTGGCATCAAATGGCTAGAAATCTCCACTTGCAAATTCCGCAAAAAGAGTGTTTCAAATCTGCTCTGTCTAAAGGGACGTTCCACTCTGTGAGTTGAATGCACACAACACAAAGAATTTACTGAGAATTCTTCCGTCTAGCATTCAATGAAGAAATCCCGTTTCCAACGAAGGCCTCAAACAGGTCCATATATCCACTTGCAGAGTTTACAAACAGTGTGTTTCCAAACTCCTCTATGAAAAGAAAGGTTAAACTCTGTGAGTGGAACGCACACATCACAAAGCACTTTCTGAGAATGATTCTGTCTGGTTATTATACGAAGATATTTCCTTTTCTGCAATTGTCCTCAAATCGCTTGAAATCTCCACCTGAAAATGCCACAGCAAGAGTGTTTCAAATCTGCTCTCTCTAAAGCAAGGTTCAACTCTGTGAGTTGAATACACACAACACAAAAAAGTTACTGAGAACTCTTCTTAGTCTAGCATGAAAGGAAGAAACCCCGTTTGCAACGAAGGCCTCAAAGAGGTCCAAATATCCACTTGCAGACATAACAAGCAGAGTGTTTCTAAACTGCTCTAAGAAAAGAAAGGTTAAACTCTGTGAGTTGAAGGCACACATCACAAAGTAGTTTCTGAGAATGATTCTGTCTAGTTTTTCTTTGAAGATATTTCCTTTTCTACTGTTGGCATCAAATCGCTTGAAATCTCCACTTGCAAACTCCACAAAAAGAGTGTTTCAAATCTGCTCTGTGTAAAGGGACGTTCCACTCTGTGAGTTGAATACACACAGCACAAAGAAGTTACTGAGAATTCTTCTGTCTAGCATGAAATGAAGAAATCCCGTTTCCAACGAAGGCCTCAATGCGGTCCATATATCCACTTGCAGACTTTACAAACAGAGTGTTTCCAAACTGCTCTATGAAAAGAAAGGTTAAACTATGTGAGTTGAACGCACACATCACAAAGAATTTTCTGAGAATGATTCTGTCTGGATTTTATTTGAAGATATTTCCCTTTCTGCTGTTGGCATCAAATGGCTAGAAATCTCCACTTGCAAATTCCGCAAAAAGAGTGTTTCAAATCTGCTCTGTCTAAAGGGACGTTCCACTCTGTGAGTTGAATGCACACAACACAAAGAATTTACTGAGAATTCTTCCGTCTAGCATTCAATGAAGAAATCCCGTTTCCAACGGAAGCCTCAAACAGGTCCATATATCCAATTGCAGACTTTACAAACAGTGTGTTTCCAAGCTCCTCTATGAAAAGAAAGGTTAAACTCTGTGAGTTGAACGCACACATCACAAAGCACTTTCTGAGAATGATTCTGTCTGGTTGTTATACGAAGATATTTCCTTTTCTGCAATTGTCCTCAAATCGCTTGAAATCTCCACCTGAAAATGCCACAGCAAGAGTGTTTCAAATCTGCTCTCTCTAAAGCAAGGTTCAACTCTGTGAGTTGAATACACACAACACAAAAAAGTTACTGAGAACTCTTCTTAGTCTAGCATGAAAGGAAGAAACCCCGTTTGCAACGAAGGCCTCAAAGAGGTCCAAATATCCACTTGCAGACATAACAAGCAGAGTGTTTCTAAACTGCTCTAAGAAAAGAAAGGTTAAACTCTGTGAGTTGAAGGCACACATCACAAAGTAGTTTCTGAGAATGATTCTGTCTAGTTTTTATTTGAAGATATTTCCTTTTCTACTGTTGGCATCAAATCGCTTGAAATCTCCACTTGCAAACTCCACAAAAAGAGTGTTTCAAATCTGCTCTGTGCAAAGGGACGTTCCACTCTGTGAGTTGAATACACACAGCACAAAGAAGTTACTGAGAATTCTTCTGTCTAGCATGAAATGAAGAAATCCCGTTTCCAACGAAGGCCTCAATGCGGTCCATATATCCACTTGCAGACTTTACAAACAGAGTGTTTCCAAACTGCTCTATGAAAAGAAAGGTTAAACTATGTGAGTTGAACGCACACATCACAAAGAATTTTCTGAGAATGATTCTGTCTGGTTTTTATTTGAAGATATTTCCCTTTCTACTGTTGGCATCAAATGGCTAGAAATCTCCACTTGCAAATTCCGCAAAAAGAGTGTTTCAAATCTGCTCTGTCTAAAGGGACGTTCCACTCTGTGAGTTGAATGCACACAACACAAAGAATTTACTGCGAATTCTTCCGCCTTGCATTCAATGAGGAAATCCCGTTTCCCAACGAAGGCCTCAAACAGGTCCATATATCCAATTGCAGACTTTACAAACAGTGTGTTTCCAAACTCCTCTATGAAAAGAAAGGTTAAACTCTGTGAGTTGAACGCACACATCACAAAGCACTTTCTGAGAATGATTCTGTCTGGTTATTATACGGAAGATATTTCCTTTTCTGCAATTGTCCTCAAATCGCTTGAAATCTCCACCTGAAAATGCCACAGCAAGAGTGTTTCAAATCTGCTCTCTCTAAAGCAAGGTTCAACTCTGTGAGTTGAATACACACAACACAAAAAAGTTACTGAGAACTCTTCTTAGTCTAGCATGAAAGGAAGAAACCCCGTTTGCAACGAAGGCCTCAAAGAGGTCCAAATATCCACTTGCAGACATAACAAGCAGAGTGTTTCTAAACTGCTCTAAGAAAAGAAAGGTTAAACTCTGTGAGTTGAAGGCACACATCACAAAGTAGTTTCTGAGAATGATTCTGTCTAGTTTTTATTTGAAGATATTTCCTTTTCTACTGTTGGCATCAAATCGCTTGAAATCTCCACTTGCAAACTCCACAAAAAGAGTGTTTCAAATCTGCTCTGTGCAAAGGGACGTTCCACTCTGTGAGTTGAATACACACAGCACAAAGAAGTTACTGAGAATTCTTCTGTCTAGCATGAAATGAAGAAATCCCGTTTCCAACGAAGGCCTCAATGCGGTCCATATATCCACTTGCAGACTTTACAAACAGAGTGTTTCCAAACTGCTCTATGAAAAGAAAGGTTAAACTATGTGAGTTGAACGCACACATCACAAAGAATTTTCTGAGAATGATTCTGTCTGGTTTTTATTTGAAGATATTTCCCTTTCTACTGTTGGCATCAAATGGCTAGAAATCTCCACTTGCAAATTCCGCAAAAAGAGTGTTTCAAATCTGCTCTGTCTAAAGGGACGTTCCACTCTGTGAGTTGAATGCACACAACACAAAGAATTTACTGAGAATTCTTCCGTCTAGCATTCAATGAAGAAATCCCGTTTCCAACGAAGGCCTCAAACAGGTCCATATATCCACTTGCAGACTTTACAAACAGTGTGTTTCCAAACTCCACTATGAAAAGAAAGGTTAAACTCTGTGAGTTGAACGCACACATCACAAAGCACTTTCTGAGAATGATTCTGTCTGGTTATTATACGAAGATATTTCCTTTTCTGCAATTGTCCTCAAATCGCTTGAAATCTCCACCTGAAAATGCCACAGCAAGAGTGTTTCAAATCTGCTCTCTCTAAAGCAAGGTTCAACTCTGTGAGTTGAATACACACAACACAAAAAAGTTACTGAGAACTCTTCTTAGTCTAGCATGAAAGGAAGAAACCCCGTTTGCAACGAAGGCCTCAAAGAGGTCCAAATATCCACTTGCAGACATAACAAGCAGAGTGTTTCTAAACTGCTCTAAGAAAAGAAAGGTTAAACTCTGTGAGTTGAAGGCACACATCACAAAGTAGTTTCTGAGAATGATTTCTGTCTAGTTTTTATTTGAAGATATTTCCTTTTCTACTGTTGGCATCAAATCGCTTGAAATCTCCACTTGCAAATTCCACAAAAAGAGTGTTTCAAATCTGCTCTGTGCAAAGGGACGTTCCACTCTGTGAGTTGAATACACACAGCACAAAGAAGTTACTGAGAATTCTTCTGTCTAGCATGAAATGAAGAAATCCCGTTTCCAACGAAGGCCTCAATGCGGTCCATATATCCACTTGCAGACTTTACAAACAGAGTGTTTCCAAACTGCTCTATGAAAAGAAAGGTTAAACTATGTGAGTTGAACGCACACATCACAAAGAATTTTCTGAGAATGATTCTGTCTGGTTTTTATTTGAAGATATTTCCCTTTCTACTGTTGGCATCAAATGGCTAGAAATCTCCACTTGCAAATTCCGCAAAAAGAGGGTTTCAAATCTGCTCTGTCTAAAGGGACGTTCCACTCTGTGAGTTGAATGCACACAACACAAAGAATTTACTGAGAATTCTTCCGTCTAGCATTCAATGAAGAAATCCCGTTTCCAACGAAGGCCTCAAACAGGTCCATATATCCAAATGCAGACTTTACAAACAGTGTGTTTCCAAACTCCTCTATGAAAAGAAAGGTTAAACTCTGTGATTTGAAGGCACACATCACAAAGTAGTTTCTGAGAATGATTCTGTCTGGTTATTATACGAAGATATTTCCTTTTCTGCAATTGTCCTCAAATCGCTTGAAATCTCCACCTGAAAATGCCACAGCAAGAGTGTTTCAAATCTGCTCTCTCTAAAGCAAGGTTCAACTCTGTGAGTTGAATACACACAACACAAAAAAGTTACTGAGAACTCTTCTTAGTCTAGCATGAAAGGAAGAAACCCCGTTTGCAACGAAGGCCTCAAAGAGGTCCAAATATCCACTTGCAGACATAACAAGCAGAGTGTTTCTAAACTGCTCTAAGAAAAGAAAGGTTAAACTCTGTGAGTTGAAGGCACACATCACAAAGTAGTTTCTGAGAATGATTCTGTCTAGTTTTTATTTGAAGATATTTCTTTTTCTACTGTTGGCATCAAATCGCTTGAAATCTCCACTTGCAAATTCCACAAAAAGAGTGTTTCAAATCTGCTCTGTGTAAAGGGACGTTCCACTCTGTGAGTTGAATACACACAGCACAAAGAAGTTACTGAGAATTCTTCTGTCTAGCATGAAATGAAGAAATCCCGTTTCCAACGAAGGCCTCAATGCGGTCCATATATCCACTTGCAGACTTTACAAACAGAGTGTTTCCAAACTGCTCTATGAAAAGAAAGGTTAAACTATGTGAGTTGAACGCACACATCACAAAGAATTTTCTGAGAATGATTCTGTCTGGTTTTTATTTGAAGATATTTCCCTTTCTACTGTTGGCATCAAATGGCTAGAAATCTCCACTTGCAAATTCCGCAAAAAGAGTGTTTCAAATCTGCTCTGTCTAAAGGGACGTTCCACTCTGTGAGTTGAATGCACACAACACAAAGAATTTACTGAGAATTCTTCCGTCTAGCATTCAATGAAGAAATCCCGTTTCCAACGAAGGCCTCAAACAGGTCCATATATCCACTTGCAGAGTTTACAAACAGTGTGTTTCCAAACTCCTCTATGAAAAGAAAGGTTAAACTCTGTGAGTGGAACGCACACATCACAAAGCACTTTCTGAGAATGATTTTGTCTGGTTATTATACGAAGATATTTCCTTTTCTGCAATTGTCCTCAAATCGCTTGAAATCTCCACCTGAAAATGCCACAGCAAGAGTGTTTCAAATCTGCTCTCTCTAAAGCAAGGTTCAACTCTGTGAGTTGAATACACACAACACAAAAAAGTTACTGAGAACTCTTCTTAGTCTAGCATGAAAGGAAGAAACCCCGTTTGCAACGAAGGCCTCAAAGAGGTCCAAATATCCACTTGCAGACATAACAAGCAGAGTGTTTCTAAACTGCTCTAAGAAAAGAAAGGTTAAACTCTGTGAGTTGAAGGCACACATCACAAAGTAGTTTCTGAGAATGATTCTGTCTAGTTTTTATTTGAAGATATTTCCTTTTCTACTGTTGGCATCAAATCGCTTGAAATCTCCACTTGCAAACTCCACAAAAAGAGTGTTTCAAATCTGCTCTGTGCAAAGGGACGTTCCACTCTGTGAGTTGAATACACACAGCACAAAGAAGTTACTGAGAATTCTTCTGTCTAGCATGAAATGAAGAAATCCCGTTTCCAACGAAGGCCTCAATGCGGTCCATATATCCACTTGCAGACTTTACAAACAGAGTGTTTCCAAACTGCTCTATGAAAAGAAAGGTTAAACTATGTGAGTTGAACGCACACATCACAAAGAATTTTCTGAGAATGATTCTGTCTGGTTTTTATTTGAAGATATTTCCCTTTCTACTGTTGGCATCAAATGGCTAGAAATCTCCACTTGCAAATTCCGCAAAAAGAGTGTTTCAAATCTGCTCTGTCTAAAGGGACGTTCCACTCTGTGAGTTGAATGCACACAACACAAAGAATTTACTGAGAATTCTTCCGTCTAGCATTCAATGAAGAAATCCCGTTTCCAACGAAGGCCTCAAACAGGTCCATATATCCACTTGCAGACTTTACAAACAGTGTGTTTCCAAACTCCTCTATGAAAAGAAAGGTTAAACTCTGTGAGTGGAACGCACACATCACAAAGCACTTTCTGAGAATGATTCTGTCTGGTTGTTATACGAAGATATTTCCTTTTCTGCAATTGTCCTCAAATCGCTTGAAATCTCCACCTGAAAATGCCACAGCAAGAGTGTTTCAAATCTGCTCTCTCTAAAGCAAGGTTCAACTCTGTGAGTTGAATACACACAACACAAAAATGTTACTGAGAACTCTTCTTAGTCTAGCATGAAAGGAAGAAACCCCGTTTGCAACGAAGGCCTCAAAGAGGTCCAAATATCCACTTGCAGACATAACAAGCAGAGTGTTTCTAAACTGCTCTAAGAAAAGAAAGGTTAAACTCTGTGAGTTGAAGGCACACATCACAAAGTAGTTTCTGAGAATGATTCTGTCTAGTTTTTATTTGAAGATATTTCCTTTTCTACTGTTGGCATCAAATCGCTTGAAATCTCCACTTGCAAATTCCACAAAAAGAGTGTTTCAAATCTGCTCTGTGCAAAGGGACGTTCCACTCTGTGAGTTGAATACACACAGCACAAAGAAGTTACTGAGAATTCTTCTGTCTAGCATGAAATGAAGAAATCCCGTTTCCAACGAAGGCCTCAATGCGGTCCATAGATCCACTTGCAGACTTTACAAACAGAGTGTTTCCAAACTGCTCTATGAAAAGAAAGGTTAAACTATGTGAGTTGAACGCACACATCACAAAGAATTTTCTGAGAATGATTCTGTCTGGTTTTTATTTGAAGATATTTCCCTTTCTACTGTTGGCATCAAATGGCTAGAAATCTCCACTTGCAAATTCCGCAAAAAGAGTGTTTCAAATCTGCTCTGTCTAAAGGGACGTTCCACTCTGTGAGTTGAATGCACACAACACAAAGAATTTACTGAGAATTCTTCCGTCTAGCATTCAATGAAGAAATCCCGTTTCCAACGAAGGCCTCAAACAGGTCCATATATCCACTTGCAGAGTTTACAAACAGTGTGTTTCCAAACTCCTCTATGAAAAGAAAGGTTAAACTCTGTGAGTGGAACGCACACATCACAAAGCACTTTCTGAGAATGATTCTGTCTGGTTATTATACGAAGATATTTCCTTTTCTGCAATTGTCCTCAAAACGCTTGAAATCTCCACCTGAAAATGCCACAGCAAGAGTGTTTCAAATCTGCTCTCTCTAAAGCAAGGTTCAACTCTGTGAGTTGAATACACACAACACAAAAAAGTTACTGAGAACTCTTCTTAGTCTAGCATGAAAGGAAGAAACCCCGTTTGCAACGAAGGCCTCAAAGAGGTCCAAATATCCACTTGCAGACATAACAAGCAGAGTGTTTCTAAACTGCTCTAAGAAAAGAAAGGTTAAACTCTGTGAGTTGAAGGCACACATCACAAAGTAGTTTCTGAGAATGATTCTGTCTAGTTTTTATTTGAAGATATTTCCTTTTCTACTGTTGGCATCAAATCGCTTGAAATCTCCACTTGCAAATTCCACAAAAAGAGTGTTTCAAATCTGCTCTGTGCAAAGGGACGTTCCACTCTGTGAGTTGAATACACACAGCACAAAGAAGTTACTGAGAATTCTTCTGTCTAGCATGAAATGAAGAAATCCCGTTTCCAACGAAGGCCTCAATGCGGTCCATATATCCACTTGCAGACTTTACAAACAGAGTGTTTCCAAACTGCTCTATGAAAAGAAAGGTTAAACTATGTGAGTTGAACGCACACATCACAAAGAATTTTCTGAGAATGATTCTGTCTGGTTTTTATTTGAAGATATTTCCCTTTCTACTGTTGGCATCAAATGGCTAGAAATCTCCACTTGCAAATTCCGCAAAAAGAGTGTTTCAAATCTGCTCTGTCTAAAGGGACGTTCCACTCTGTGAGTTGAATGCACACAACACAAAGAATTTACTGAGAATTCTTCCGTCTAGCATTCAATGAAGAAATCCCGTTTCCAACGAAGGCCTCAAACAGGTCCATATATCCAATTGCAGACTTTACAAACAGTGTGTTTCCAAACTCCTCTATGAAAAGAAAGGTTAAACTCTGTGAGTTGAACGCACACATCACAAAGCACTTTGCTGAGAATGATTCTGTCTGGTTGTTATACGAAGATATTTCCTTTTCTGTAATTGTCCTCAAATCGCTTGAAATCTCCACCTGAAAATGCCACAGCAAGAGTGTTTCAAATCTGCTCTCTCTAAAGCAAGGTTCAACTCTGTGAGTTGAATACACACAACACAAAAAAGTTACTGAGAACTCTTCTTAGTCTAGCATGAAAGGAAGAAACCCCGTTTGCAACGAAGGCCTCAAAGAGGTCCAAATATCCACTTGCAGACATAACAAGCAGAGTGTTTCTAAACTGCTCTAAGAAAAGAAAGGTTAAACTCTGTGAGTTGAAGGCACACATCACAAAGTAGTTTCTGAGAATGATTCTGTCTAGTTTGTATTTGAAGATATTTCCTTTTCTACTGTTGGCATCAAATCGCTTGAAATCTCCACTTGCAAATTCCACAAAAAGAGTGTTTCAAATCTGCTCTGTGCAAAGGGACGTTCCACTCTGTGAGTTGAATACACACAGCACAAAGAAGTTACTGAGAATTCTTCTGTCTAGCATGAAATGAAGAAATCCCGTTTCCAACGAAGGCCTCAATGCGGTCCATATATCCACTTGCAGACTTTACAAACAGAGTGTTTCCAAACTGCTCTATGAAAAGAAAGGTTAAACTATGTGAGTTGAACGCACACATCACAAAGAATTTTCTGAGAATGATTCTGTCTGGTTTTTATTTGAAGATATTTCCCTTTCTACTGTTGGCATCAAATGGCTAGAAATCTCCACTTGCAAATTCCACAAAAAGAGTGTTTCAAATCTGCTCTGTCTAAAGGGACGTTCCACTCTGTGAGTTGAATGCACACAACACAAAGAATTTACTGAGAATTCTTCCGCCTAGCATTCAATGAAGAAATCCCGTTTCCAACGAAGGCCTCAAAGCGGTCCATATATCCACTTGCAGACTTTACAAACAGTGTGTTTCCAAACTCCTCTATGAAAAGAAAGGTTAAACTCTGTGAGTGGAACGCACACATCACAAAGCACTTTCTGAGAATGATTCTGTCTGGTTATTATACGAAGATATTTCCTTTTCTGCAATTGTCCTCAAATCGCTTGAAATCTCCACCTGAAAATGCCACAGCAAGAGTGTTTCAAATCTGCTCTCTCTAAAGCAAGGTTCAACTCTGTGAGTTGAATACACACAACACAAAAAAGTTACTGAGAACTCTTCTTAGTCTAGCATTAAAGGAAGAAACCCCGTTTGCAACGAAGGCCTCAAAGAGGTCCAAATATCCACTTGCAGACATAACAAGCAGAGTGTTTCTAAACTGCTCTAAGAAAAGAAAGGTTAAACTCTGTGAGTTGAAGGCACACATCACAAAGTAGTTTCTGAGAATGATTCTGTCTAGTTTTTATTTGAAGATATTTCCTTTTCTACTGCTGGTATCAAATCGCTTGAAATCTCCACTTGCAAACTCCACAAAAAGAGTGTTTCAAATCTGCTCTGTGTAAAGGGACGTTCCACTCTGTGAGTTGAATACACACAGCACAAAGAAGTTACTGAGAATTCTTCTGTCTAGCATGAAATGAAGAAATCCCGTTTCCAACGAAGGCCTCAATGCGGTCCATATATCCACTTGCAGACTTTACAAACAGAGTGTTTCCAAACTGCTCTATGAAAAGAAAGGTTAAACTATGTGAGTTGAACGCACACATCACAAAGAATTTTCTGAGAATGATTCTGTCTGGTTTTTATTTGAAGATGTTTCCCTTTCTACTGTTGGCATCAAATGGCTAGAAATCTCCACTTGCAAATTCCGCAAAAAGAGTGTTTCAAATCTGCTCTGTCTAAAGGGACGTTCCACTCTGTCAGTTGAATGCACACAACACAAAGAATTTACTGAGAATTCTTCCGTCTAGCATTCAATGAAGAAATCCCGTTTCCAACGAAGGCCTCAAACAGGTCCATATATCCACTTGCAGACTTTACAGTGTGTTTCCAAACTCCTCTATGAAAAGAAAGGTTAAACTCTGTGAGTTCAACGCACACATCACAAAGCACTTTCTGAGAATGATTCTGTCTGGTTATTATACGAAGATATTTCCTTTTCTGCAATTGTCCTCAAATCGCTTGAAATCTCCACCTGAAAATGCCACAGCAAGAGTGTTTCAAATCTGCTCTCTCTAAAGCAAGGTTCAACTCTGTGAGTTGAATACACACAACACAAAAAAGTTACTGAGAACTCTTCTTAGTCTAGCATGAAAGGAAGAAACCCCGTTTGCAACGAAGGCCTCAAAGAGGTCCAAATATCCACTTGCAGACATAACAAGCAGAGTGTTTCTAAACTGCTCTAAGAAAAGAAAGGTTAAACTCTGTGAGTTGAAGGCACACATCACAAAGTAGTTTCTGAGAATGATTCTGTCTAGTTTTTATTTGAAGATATTTCCTTTTCTACTGTTGGCATCAAATCGCTTGAAATCTCCACTTGCAAATTCCACAAAAAGAGTGTTTCAAATCTGCTCTGTGCAAAGGGACGTTCCACTCTGTGAGTTGAATACACACAGCACAAAGAAGTTACTGAGAATTCTTCTGTCTAGCATGAAATGAAGAAATCCCGTTTCCAACGAAGGCCTCAATGCGGTCCATATATCCACTTGCAGACTTTACAAACAGAGTGTTTCCAAACTGCTCTATGAAAAGAAAGGTTATACTATGTGAGTTGAACGCACACATCACAAAGAATTTTCTGAGAATGATTCTGTCTGGTTTTTATTTGAAGATATTTCCCTTTCTACTGTTGGCATCAAATGGCTAGAAATCTCCACTTGCAAATTCCGCAAAAAGAGTGTTTCAAATCTGCTCTGTCTAAAGGGACGTTCCACTCTGTGAGTTGAATGCACACAACACAAAGAATTTACTGAGAATTCTTCCGTCTAGCATTCAATGAAGAAATCCCGTTTCCAACGAAGGCCTCAAACAGGTCCATATATCCAATTGCAGACTTTACAAACAGTGTGTTTCCAAACTCCTCTATGAAAAGAAAGGTTAAACTCTGTGAGTTGAACGCACACATCACAAAGCACTTTCTGAGAATGATTCTGTCTGGTTATTATACGAAGATATTTCCTTTTCTGCAATTGTCCTCAAATCGCTTGAAATCTCCACCTGAAAATGCCACAGCAAGAGTGTTTCAAATCTGCTCTCTCTAAAGCAAGGTTCAACTCTGTGATTTGAATACACACAACACAAAAAAGTTACTGAGAACTCTTCTTAGTCTAGCATGAAAGGAAGAAACCCCGTTTGCAACGAAGGCCTCAAAGAGGTCCAAATATCCACTTGCAGACATAACAAGCAGAGTGTTTCTAAACTGCTCTAAGAAAAGAAAGGTTAAACTCTGTGAGTTGAAGGCACACATCACAAAGTAGTTTCTGAGAATGATTCTGTCTAGTTTTTATTTGAAGATATTTCCTTTTCTACTGTTGGCATCAAATCGCTTGAAATCTCCACTTGCAAATTCCACAAAAAGAGTGTTTCAAATCTGCTCTGTGTAAAGGAACGTTCCACTCTGTGAGTTGAATACACACAGCACAAAGAAGTTACTGAGAATTCTTCTGTCTAGCATGAAATGAAGAAATCCCGTTTCCAACGAAGGCCTCAATGCGGTCCATATATCCACTTGCAGACTTTACAAACAGAGTGTTTCCAAACTGCTCTATGAAAAGAAAGGTTAAACTATGTGAGTTGAACGCACACATCACAAAGAATTTTCTGAGAATGATTCTGTCTGGTTTTTATTTGAAGATATTTCCCTTTCTACTGTTGGCATCAAATGGCTAGAAATCTCCACTTGCAAATTCCGCAAAAAGAGTGTTTCAAATCTGCTCTGTCTAAAGGGACGTTCCACTCTGTGAGTTGAATGCACACAACACAAAGAATTTACTGAGAATTCTTCCGTCTAGCATTCAATGAAGAAATCCCGTTTCCAACGAAGGCCTCAAACAGGTCCATATATCCACTTGCAGACTTTACAAACAGTGTGTTTCCAAACTCCTCTATGAAAAGAAAGGTTAAACTCTGTGAGTGGAACGCACACATCACAAAGCACTTTCTGAGAATGATTCTGTCTGGTTATTATACGAAGATATTTCCTTTTCTGCAATTGTCCTCAAATCGCTTGAAATCTCCACCTGAAAATGCCACAGCAAGAGTGTTTCAAATCTGCTCTCTCTAAAGCAAGGTTCAACTCTGTGAGTTGAATACACACAACACAAAAAAGTTACTGAGAACTCTTCTTAGTCTAGCATGAAAGGAAGAAACCCCGTTTGCAACGAAGGCCTCAAAGAGGTCCAAATATCCACTTGCAGACATAACAAGCAGAGTGTTTCTAAACTGCTCTAAGAAAAGAAAGGTTAAACTCTGTGAGTTGAAGGCACACATCACAAAGTAGTTTCTGAGAATGATTCTGTCTAGTTTTTATTTGAAGATATTTCCTTTTCTACTGTTGGCATCAAATCGCTTGAAATCTCCACTTGCAAACTCCACAAAAAGAGTGTTTCAAATCTGCTCTGTGTAAAGGGACGTTCCACTCTGTGAGTTGAATACACACAGCACAAAGAAGTTACTGAGAATTCTTCTGTCTAGCATGAAATGAAGAAATCCCGTTTCCAACGAAGGCCTCAATGCGGTCCATATATCCACTTGCAGACTTTACAAACAGAGTGTTTCCAAACTGCTCTATGAAAAGAAAGGTTAAACTATGTGAGTTGAACGCACACATCACAAAGAATTTTCTGAGAATGATTCTGTCTGGTTTTTATTTGAAGATATTTCCCTTTCTACTGTTGGCATCAAATGGCTAGAAATCTCCACTTGCAAATTCCGCAAAAAGAGTGTTTCAAATCTGCTCTGTCTAAAGGGACGTTCCACTCTGTCAGTTGAATGCACACAACACAAAGAATTTACTGAGAATTCTTCCGCCTAGCATTCAATGAAGAAATCCCGTTTCCAACGAAGGCCTCAAAGCGGTCCATATATCCACTTGCAGACTTTACAAACAGTGTGTTTCCAAACTCCTCTATGAAAAGAAAGGTTAAACTCTGTGAGTGGAACGCACACATCACAAAGCACTTTCTGAGAATGATTCTGTCTGGTTATTATACGAAGATATTTCCTTTTCTGCAATTGTCCTCAAATCGCTTGAAATCTCCACCTGAAAATTCCACAGCGAGAGTGTTTCAAATCTGCTCTCTCTAAAGCAAGGTTCAACTCTGTGAGTTGAATACACACAACACAAAAAAGTTACTGAGAACTCTTCTTAGTCTAGCATGAAAGGAAGAAACCCCGTTTGCAACGAAGGCCTCAAAGAGGTCCAAATATCCACTTGCAGACATAACAAGCAGAGTGTTTCTAAACTGCTCTAAGAAAAGAAAGGTTAAACTCTGTGAGTTGAAGGCACACATCACAAAGTAGTTTCTGAGAATGATTCTGTCTAGTTTTTATTTGAAGATATTTCCTTTTCTACTGTTGGCATCAAATCGCTTGAAATCTCCACTTGCAAACTCCACAAAAAGAGTGTTTCAAATCTGCTCTGTGTAAAGGGACGTTCCACTCTGTGAGTTGAATACACACAGCACAAAGAAGTTACTGAGAATTCTTCTGTCTAGCATTCAATGATGAAATCCCGTTTCCAACGAATGCCTCAAAGCGGTCCATATATCCACATGCAGATTTTACAAACAGTGTGTTTCGAAACTGCTCTATGAACAGAAAGGTTAAACTATGTGAGTTGAACGCACACATCACAAAGAATTTTCTGAGGCTGATTCTGTCTAGTTTTTATTTGAAGATATTTCCCTTTCTACTCTTGGCATGAAATGGCTAGAAATCTCCACTTGCAAATTCCGCAAAAAGTGTGTTTCAAATCTGCTCTTTCTAAAGGGACGTTCCACTCTGTGAGTTGAATGCACACAACAAAAAGAATTTACTGAGAATTCTTCCGTCTAGCATTCAATGAAGAAATCCCGTTTCCAACGAAGGCCTCAAACAGGTCCATATATCCAATTGCAGACTTTACAAACAGTGTGTTTCCAAACTCCTCTATGAAAAGAAAGGTTAAACTCTGTGAGTTGAACGCACACATCACAAAGCACTTTCTGAGAATGATTCTGTCTGGTTGTTATACGAAGATATTTCCTTTTCTGCAATTGTCCTCAAATCGCTTGAAATCTCCACCTGAAAATGCCACAGCAAGAGTGTTTCAAATCTGCTCTCTCTAAAGCAAGGTTCAACTCTGTGAGTTGAATACACACAACACAAAAATGTTACTGAGAACTCTTCTTAGTCTAGCATGAAAGGAAGAAACCCCGTTTGCAACGAAGGCCTCAAAGAGGTCCAAATATCCACTTGCAGACATAACAAGCAGAGTGTTTCTAAACTGCTCTAAGAAAAGAAAGGTTAAACTCTGTGAGTTGAAGGCACACATCACAAAGTAGTTTCTGAGAATGATTCTGTCTAATTTTTATTTGAAGATATTTCCTTTTCTACTGCTGGCATCAAATCGCTTGAAATCTCCACTTGCAAACTCCACAAAAAGAGTGTTTCAAATCTGCTCTGTGTAAAGGGACGGTTCCACTCTGTGAGTTGAATACACACAGCACAAAGAAGTTACTGAGAATTCTTCTGTCTAGCATGAAATGAAGAAATCCCGTTTCCAACGAAGGCCTCAATGCGGTCCATATATCCACTTGCAGACTTTACAAACAGAGTGTTTCCAAACTGCTCTATGAAAAGAAAGGTTAAACTATGTGAGTTGAACGCACACATCACAAAGAATTTTCTGAGAATGATTCTGTCTGGTTTTTATTTGAAGATATTTCCCTTTCTACTGTTGGCATCAAATGGCTAGAAATCTCCACTTGCAAATTCCGCAAAAAGAGTGTTTCAAATCTGCTCTGTCTAAAGGGACGTTCCACTCTGTGAGTTGAATGCACACAACACGAAGAATTTACTGAGAATTCTTCCGTCTAGCATTCAATGAAGAAATCCCGTTTCCAACGAAGGCCTCAAACAGGTCCATATATCCAATTGCAGACTTTACAAACAGTGTGTTTCCAAACTCCTCTATGAAAAGAAAGGTTAAACTCTGTGAGTTGAACGCACACATCACAAAGCACTTTCTGAGAATGATTCTGTCTGGTTATTATACGAAGATATTTCCTTTTCTGCAATTGTCCTCAAATCGCTTGAAATCTCCACCTGAAAATGCCACAGCAAGAGTGTTTCAAATCTGCTCTCTCTAAAGCAAGGTTCAACTCTGTGAGTTGAATACACACAACACAAAAAAGTTACTGAGAACTCTTCTTAGTCTAGCATGAAAGGAAGAAACCCCGTTTGCAACGAAGGCCTCAAAGAGGTCCAAATATCCACTTGCAGACATAACAAGCAGAGTGTTTCTAAACTGCTCTAAGAAAAGAAAGGTTAAACTCTGTGAGTTGAAGGCACACATCACAAAGCAGTTTCTGAGAATGATTCTGTCTAGTTTTTATTTGAAGATATTTCCTTTTCTACTGTTGGCATCAAATCGCTTGAAATCTCCACTTGCAAACTCCACAAAAAGAGTGTTTCAAATCTGCTCTGTGCAAAGGGACGTTCCACTCTGTGAGTTGAATACACACAGCACAAAGAAGTTACTGAGAATTCTTCTGTCTAGCATGAAATGAAGAAATCCCGTTTCCAACGAAGGCCTCAATGCGGTCCATATATCCACTTGCAGACTTTACAAACAGAGTGTTTCCAAACTGCTCTATGAAAAGAAAGGTTAAACTATGTGAGTTGAACGCACACATCACAAAGAATTTTCTGAGAATGATTCTGTCTGGTTTTTATTTGAAGATATTTCCCTTTCTACTGTTGGCCATCAAATGGCTAGAAATCTCCACTTGCAAATTCCGCAAAAAGAGTGTTTCAAATCTGCTCTGTCTAAAGGGACGTTCCACTCTGTGAGTTGAATGCACACAACACAAAGAATTTACTGAGAATTCTTCCGTCTAGCATTCAATGAAGAAATCCCGTTTCCAACGAAGGCCTCAAACAGGTCCATATATCCAATTGCAGACTTTACAAACAGTGTGTTTCCAAACTCCTCTATGAAAAGAAAGGTTAAACTCTGTGAGTTGAACGCACACATCACAAAGCACTTTCTGTGAATGATTCTGTCTGGTTATTATACGAAGATATTTCCTTTTCTGCAATTGTCCTCAAATCGCTTGAAATCTCCACCTGAAAATTCCACAGCAAGAGTGTTACAAATCTGCTCTCTCTTAAGCAACGTTCAACTCTGTGAGTTGAATACACACAACACAAAAAAGTTACTGAGAACTCTTCTTAGTCTAGCATTAAAGGAAGAAATCCCGTTTGCAACGAAGGCCTCAAAGAGGTCCAAATATCCACTTGCAGACATAACAAGCAGAGTGTTTCTAAACTGCTCTAAGAAAAGAAAGGTTAAACTCTGTGAGTTGAAGGCACACATCACAAAGTAGTTTCTGAGAATGATTCTGTCTACTTTTTATTTGAAGATATTTCCTTTTCTACTGCTGGCATCAAATCGCTTGAAATCTCCACTTGAAATTCCACAAAAAGAGTGTTTCAAATCTGCTCTGTCTAAAGGGACGATCCACTCTGTGAGTTGAATACACACAACACAAAGAAGTTACTGAGAATTCTTCCGCTAGCATTATATGATAAAATCCCCTTTCCAACGAAGGCCTCAAACAGGTCCATATACCCAATTGCAGACTTTACAAACAGTGTGTTTCCAAACTGCTCTATGAAAAGAAAGGTTAAACTACGTGAGTTGAACGCACACATCACAAAGAATTTTCTGAGAATGATTCTGTCTAGTTTTTATTTGAAGATATTTCCCTTTCTACTGTTGGCATCAAATGGCTTGAAATCTCCACTTCCAAATTTCGCAAAAAGAGTGTTTCAAATCTGCTCTGTCTAAAGGGACGTTCCACTCGGTGAGTTGAATGAACACAACACAAAGGATTTACTGAGAATTCTTCCGTCTAGCATTCAATGAAGAAATCCCGTTTCCAACGAAGGCCTCAAACAGGTCCATATATCCAATTGCAGACTTTACAAACAGTGTGTTTCCAAACTCCTCTATGAAAAGAAAGGTTAAACTCTGTGAGTTGAACGCACACAACACAAAGCACTTTCTGAGAATGATTCTGTCTGGTTATTATACGAAGATATTTCCTTTTCTGCAATTGTCCTCAAATCGCTTGAAATCTCCACCTGAAAATGCCACAGCAAGAGTGTTTCAAATCTGCTCTCTCTAAAGCAAGGTTCAACTCTGTGAGTTGAATACACACAACACAAAAAAGTTACTGAGAACTCTTCTTAGTCTAGCATGAAAGGAAGAAACCCCGTTTGCAACGAAGGCCTCAAAGAGGTCCAAATATCCACTTGCAGACATAACAAGCAGAGTGTTTCTAAACTGCTCTAAGAAAAGAAAGGTTAAACTCTGTGAGTTGAAGGCACACATCACAAAGTAGTTTCTGAGAATGATTCTGTCTAATTTTTATTTGAAGATATTTCCTTTCCAACTTTTGGCATCAAATCGCTTGAATTCTCCACTTTTAAATTCCACAAAAAGAGTGTTTCAAAACTGCTCTGTGTAATGGGACATTCCAATCTGTCAGTTGAATACACACAACACAAAGAAGTTACTGAGAATTCTTCTGTCTAGCATGAAATGAAGAAATCCCGTTTCCAACGAAGGCCTCAATGCGGTCCATAGATCCACTTGCAGACTTTACAAACAGAGTGTTTCCAAACTGCTCTATGAAAAGAAAGGTTAAACTATGTGAGTTGAACGCACACATCACAAAGAATTTTCTGAGAATGATTCTGTCTGGTTTTTATTTGAAGATATTTCCCTTTCTACTGTTGGCATCAAATGGCTAGAAATCTCCACTTGCAAATTCCGCAAAAAGAGTGTTTCAAATCTGCTCTGTCTAAAGGGACGTTCCACTCTGTGAGTTGAATGCACACAACACAAAGAATTTACTGAGAATTCTTCCGTCTAGCATTCAATGAAGAAATCCCGTTTCCAACGAAGGCCTCAAACAGGTCCATATATCCAATTGCAGACTTTACAAACAGTGTGTTTCCAAACTCCTCTATGGAAAGAAAGGTTAAACTGTGTGAGTTGAACGCACACATCACAAAGCACTTTCTGAGAATGATTCTGTCTGGTTGTTATACGAAGATATTTCCTTTTCTGCAATTGTCCTCAAATCGCTTGAAATCTCCACCTGAAAATGCCACAGCAAGAGTGTTTCAAATCTGCTCTCTCTAAAGCAAGGTTCAGCTCTGTGAGTTGAATACACACAACACAAAAAAGTTACTGAGAACTCTTCTTAGTCTAGCATGAAAGGAAGAAACCCCGTTTGCAACGAAGGCCTCAAAGAGGTCCAAATATCCACTTGCAGACATAACAAGCAGAGTGTTTCTAAACTGCTCTAAGAAAAGAAAGGTTAAACTCTGTGAGTTGAAGGCACACATCACAAAGTAGTTTCTGAGAATGATTCTGTCTAGTTTTTATTTGAAGATATTTCCTTTTCTACTGTTGGCATCAAATCGCTTGAAATCTCCACTTGCAAACTCCACAAAAAGAGTGTTTCAAATCTGCTCTGTGCAAAGGGACGTTCCACTCTGTGAGTTGAATACACACAGCACAAAGAAGTTACTGAGAATTCTTCTGTCTAGCATGAAATGAAGAAATCCCGTTTCCAACGAAGGCCTCAAAGCGGTCCATATATCCACTTGCAGACATTACCAACAGAGTGTTCCCAAACTGCTCTATGAAAAGAAAGGTTAAACTATGTGAGTTGAACGCACACATCACAAAGAATTTTCTGAGAATGATTCTGTCTGGTTTTTATTTGAAGATATTTCCCTTTCTACTGTTGGCATCAAATGGCTAGAAATCTCCACTTGCAAATTCCCCAAAAAGAGTGTTTCAAATCTGCTCTGTCTAAAGGGACGGTTCCACTCTGTGAGTTGAATGCACACAACACAAAGAATTTACTGAGATTTCTTCCGTCTAGCATTCAATGAAGAAATCCCGTTTCCAACGGAGGCCTCAAACAGGTCCATATATCCAATTGCAGACTTTACAAACAGTGTGTTTCGAAGCTCCTCTATGAAAAGAAAGGTTAAACTCTGTGAGTTGAACGCACACATCACAAAGCACTTTCTGAGAATGATTCTGTCTGGTTATTATACGAAGATATTTCCTTTTCTGCAATTGTCCTCAAATCGCTTGAAATCTCCACCTGAAAATGCCACAGCAAGAGTGTTTCAAATCTGCTCTCTCTAAAGCAAGGTTCAACTCTGTGAGTTGAATACACACAACACAAAAAAGTTACTGAGAACTCTTCTTAGTCTAGCATTAAAGGAAGAAATCCCGTTTGCAACGAAGGCCTCAAAGAGGTCCAAATATCCACTTGCAGACATAAGAAGCAGAGTGTTTCTAAACTGCTCTACGAAAAGAAAGGTTAAACTCAGTGAGTTGAACGCACACATCACAAAGCACTTTCTGAGAATGATTCTGTCTAGTTTTTATTTGAAGATATTTCCTTTTCTACTGTTGGCATCAAATCGCTTGAAATCTCCACTTGCAAATTCCACAAAAAGAGTGTTTCAAATCTGCTCTGTGCAAAGGGACGTTCCACTCTGTGAGTTGAATACACACAGCACAAAGAAGTTACTGAGAATTCTTCTGTCTAGCATGAAATGAAGAAATCCCGTTTCCAACGAAGGCCTCAATGCGGTCCATATATCCACTTGCAGACTTTACAAACAGAGTGTTTCCAAACTGCTCTATGAAAAGAAAGGTTAAACTATGTGAGTTGAACGCACACATCACAAAGAATTTTCTGAGAATGATTCTGTCTGGTTTTTATTTGAAGATATTTCCCTTTCTACTGTTGGCATCAAATGGCTAGAAATCTCCACTTGCAAATTCCGCAAAAAGAGTGTTTCAAATCTGCTCTGTCTAAAGGGACGTTCCACTCTGTCAGTTGAATGCACACAACACAAAGAATTTACTGAGAATTCTTCCGTCTAGCAGTCAATGAAGAAATCCCGTTTCCAACGAAGGCCTCAAACAGGTCCATATATCCAATTGCAGACTTTACAAACAGTGTGTTTCCAAACTCCTCTATGAAAAGAAAGGTTAAACTCTGTGAGTTGAACGCACACATCACAAAGCACTTTCTGAGAATGATTCTGTCTGGTTATTATACGAAGATATTTCCTTTTCTGCAATTGTCCTCAAATCGCTTGAAATCTCCACCTGAAAATGCCACAGCAAGAGTGTTTCAAATCTGCTCTCTCTAAAGCAAGGTTCAACTCTGTGAGTTGAATACACACAACACAAAAAAGTTACTGAGAACTCTTCTTAGTCTAGCATTAAAGGAAGAAACCCCGTTTGCAACGAAGGCCTCAAAGAGGTCCAAATATCCACTTGCAGACATAACAAGCAGAGTGTTTCTAAACTGCTCTAAGAAAAGAAAGGTTAAACTCTGTGAGTTGAAGGCACACATCACAAAGTAGTTTCTGAGAATGATTCTGTCTAGTTTTTATTTGAAGATATTTCCTTTTCTACTGTTGGCATCAAATCGCTTGAAATCTCCACTTGCAAATTCCACAAAAAGAGTGTTTCAAATCTGCTCTGTGCAAAAGGACGTTCCACTCTGTGAGTTGAATACACACAGCACAAAGAAGTTACTGAGAATTCTTCTGTCTAGCATGAAATGAAGAAATCCCGTTTCCAACGAAGGCCTCAAAGCGGTCCATATATCCACTTGCAGACATTACCAACAGAGTGTTCCCAAACTGCTCTATGAAAAGAAAGGTTAAACTATGTGAGTTGAACGCACACATCACAAAGAATTTTCTGAGAATGATTCTGTCTGGTTTTTATTTGAAGATATTTCCCTTTCTACTGTTGGCATCAAATGGCTAGAAATCTCCACTTGCAAATTCCGCAAAAAGAGTGTTTCAAATCTGCTCTGTCTAAAGGGACGTTCCACTCTGTGAGTTGAATGCACACAACACAAAGAATTTACTGAGAATTCTTCCGTCTAGCATTCAATGAAGAAATCCCGTTTCCAACGAAGGCCTCAAACAGGTCCATATATCCAATTGCAGACTTTACAAACAGTGTGTTTCCAAACTCCTCAATGAAAAGAAAGGTTAAACTCTGTGAGTTGAATGCACACATCACAAAGCACTTTCTGAGAATGATTCTGTCTGGTTGTTATACGAAGATATTTCCTTTTCTGCAATTGTCCTCAAATCGCTTGAAATCTCCACCTGAAAATGCCACAGCAAGAGTGTTTCAAATCTGCTCTCTCTAAAGCAAGGTTCAACTCTGTGAGTTGAATACACACAACACAAAAAAGTTACTGAGAACTCTTCTTAGTCTAGCATGAAAGGAAGAAACCCCGTTTGCAACGAAGGCCTCAAAGAGGTCCAAATATCCACTTGCAGACATAACAAGCAGAGTGTTTCTAAACTGCTCTAAGAAAAGAAAGGTTAAACTATGTGAGTTGAACGCACACATCACAAAGAATTTTCTGAGAATGATTCTGTCTGGTTTTTATTTGAAGATATTTCCCTTTCTACAGTTGGCATCAAATGGCTAGAAATCTCCACTTGCAAATTCCGCAAAAAGAGTGTTTCAAATCTGCTCTGTCTAAAGGGACGTTCCACTCTGTGAGTTGAATGCACACAACACAAAGAATTTACTGAGAATTCTTCCGTCTAGCATTCAATGAAGAAATCCCGTTTCCAACGAAGGCCTCAAACAGGTCCATATATCCACTTGCAGAGTTTACAAACAGTTTGTTTCCAAACTCCTCTATGAAAAGAAAGGTTAAACTCTGTGAGTGGAACGCACACATCACAAAGCACTTTCTGAGAATGATTCTGTCTGGTTATTATACGAAGATATTTCCTTTTCTGCAATTGTCCTCAAATCGCTTGAAATCTCCACCTGAAAATGCCACAGCAAGAGTGTTTCAAATCTGCTCTCTCTAAAGCAAGGTTCAACTCTGTGAGTTGAATACACACAACACAAAAAAGTTACTGAGAACTCTTCTTAGTCTAGCATGAAAGGAAGAAACCCCGTTTGCAACGAAGGCCTCAAAGAGGTCCAAATATCCACTTGCAGACATAACAAGCAGAGTGTTTCTAAACTGCTCTAAGAAAAGAAAGGTTAAACTCTGTGAGTTGAAGGCACACATCACAAAGTAGTTTCTGAGAATGATTCTGTCTAGTTTTTATTTGAAGATATTTCCTTTTCTACTGTTGGCATCAAATCGCTTGAAATCTCCACTTGCAAACTCCACAAAAAGAGTGTTTCAAATCTGCTCTGTGCAAAGGGACGTTCCACTCTGTGAGTTGAATACACACAGCACAAAGAAGTTACTGAGAATTCTTCTGTCTAGCATGAAATGAAGAAATCCCGTTTCCAACGAAGGCCTCAATGCGGTCCATATATCCACTTGCAGACTTTACAAACAGAGTGTTTCCAAACTGCTCTATGAAAAGAAAGGTTAAACTATGTGAGTTGAACGCACACATCACAAAGTATTTTCTGAGAATGATTCTGTCTGGTTTTTATTTGAAGATATTTCCCTTTCTACTGTTGGCATCAAATGGCTAGAAATCTCCACTTGCAAATTCCGCAAAAAGAGTGTTTCAAATCTGCTCTGTCTAAAGGGACGTTCCACTCTGTGAGTTGAATGCACACAACACAAAGAATTTACTGAGAATTCTTCCGCCTAGCATTCAATGAAGAAATCCCGTTTCCAACGAAGGCCTCAAACAGGTCCATATATCCAATTGCAGACTTTACAAACAGTGTGTTTCCAAACTCCTCTATGAAAAGAAAGGTTAAACTCTGTGAGTTGAACGCACACATCACAAAGCACTTTCTGAGAATGATTCTGTCTGGTTATTATACGAAGATATTTCCTTTTCTGCAATTGTCCTCAAATCGCTTGAAATCTCCACCTGAAAATGCCACAGCAAGAGTGTTTCAAATCTGCTCTCTCTAAAGCAAGGTTCAACTCTGTGAGTTGAATACACACAACACAAAAAAGTTACTGAGAACTCTTCTTAGTCTAGCATGAAAGGAAGAAACCCCGTTTGCAACGAAGGCCTCAAAGAGGTCCAAATATCCACTTGCAGACATAACAAGCAGAGTGTTTCTAAACTGCTCTAAGAAAAGAAAGGTTAAACTCTGTGAGTTGAAGGCACACATCACAAAGTAGTTTCTGAGAATGATTCTGTCTAGTTTTTATTTGAAGATATTTCCTTTTCTACTGTTGGCATCAAATCGCTTGAAATCTCCACTTGCAAACTCCACAAAAAGAGTGTTTCAAATCTGCTCTGTGCAAAGGGACGTTCCACTCTGTGAGTTGAATACACACAGCACAAAGAAGTTACTGAGAATTCTTCTGTCTAGCATGAAATGAAGAAATCCCGTTTCCAACGAAGGCCTCAATGCGGTCCATATATCCACTTGCAGACTTTACAAACAGAGTGTTTCCAAACTGCTCTATGAAAAGAAAGGTTAAACTATGTGAGTTGAACGCACACATCACAAAGAATTTTCTGAGAATGATTCTGTCTGGTTTTTATTTGAAGATATTTCCCTTTCTACTGTTGGCATCAAATGGCTAGAAATCTCCACTTGCAAATTCCGCAAAAAGAGTGTTTCAAATCTGCTCTGTCTAAAGGGACGTTCCACTCTGTGAGTTGAATGCACACAACACAAAGAATTTACTGAGAATTCTTCCGTCTAG
This sequence comes from Homo sapiens, assembly GCF_000001405.40. Lineage (NCBI taxonomy): Eukaryota > Metazoa > Chordata > Mammalia > Primates > Hominidae > Homo > Homo sapiens. Next base: position 60,728,403 of record NC_000007.14, on the reverse strand, counting down.
CATTCAATGAAGAAATCCCGTTTCCAACGAAGGCCTCAAACAGGTCCATATATCCACTTGCAGACTTTACAAACAGTGTGTTTCCAAACTCCTCTATGAAAAGAAAGGTTAAACTCTGTGAGTTGAACGCACACATCACAAAGCACTTTCCTGAGAATGATTCTGTCTGGTTATTATACGAAGATATTTCCTTTTCTGCAATTGTCCTCAAATCGCTTGAAATCTCCACCTGAAAATGCCACAGCAAGAGTGTTTCAAATCTGCTCTCTCTAAAGCAAGGTTCAACTCTGTGAGTTGAATACACACAACACAAAAAAGTTACTGAGAACTCTTCTTAGTCTAGCATGAAAGGAAGAAACCCCGTTTGCAACGAAGGCCTCAAAGAGGTCCAAATATCCACTTGCAGACATAACAAGCAGAGTGTTTCTAAACTGCTCTAAGAAAAGAAAGGTTAAACTCTGTGAGTTGAAGGCACACATCACAAAGTAGTTTCTGAGAATGATTCTGTCTAGTTTTTATTTGAAGATATTTCCTTTTCTACTGTTGGCATCAAATCGCTTGAAATCTCCACTTGCAAATTCCACAAAAAGAGTGTTTCAAATCTGCTCTGTGCAAAGGGACGTTCCACTCTGTGAGTTGAATACACACAGCACAAAGAAGTTACTGAGAATTCTTCTGTCTAGCATGAAATGAAGAAATCCCGTTTCCAACGAAGGCCTCAATGCGGTCCATATATCCACTTGCAGACTTTACAAACAGAGTGTTTCCAAACTGCTCTATGAAAAGAAAGGTTAAACTATGTGAGTTGAACGCACACATCACAAAGAATTTTCTGAGAATGATTCTGTCTGGTTTTTATTTGAAGATATTTCCCTTTCTACTGTTGGCATCAAATGGCTAGAAATCTCCACTTGCAAATTCCGCAAAAAGAGTGTTTCAAATCTGCTCTGTCTAAAGGGACGTTCCACTCTGTGAGTTGAATGCACACAACACAAAGAATTTACTGAGAATTCTTCCGCCTAGCATTCAATGAAGAAATCCCGTTTCCAACGAAGGCCTCAAACAGGTCCATATATCCACTTGCAGACTTTACAAACAGTGTGTTTCCAAACTCCTCTATGAAAAGAAAGGTTAAACTCTGTGAGTGGAACGCACACATCACAAAGCACTTTCTGAGAATGATTCTGTCTGGTTATTATACGAAGATATTTCCTTTTCTGCAATTGTCCTCAAAACGCTTGAAATCTCCACCTGAAAATGCCACAGCAAGAGTGTTTCAAATCTGCTCTCTCTAAAGCAAGGTTCAACTCTGTGAGTTGAATACACACAACACAAAAAAGTTACTGAGAACTCTTCTTAGTCTAGCATTAAAGGAAGAAACCCCGTTTGCAACGAAGGCCTCAAAGAGGTCCAAATATCCACTTGCAGACATAACAAGCAGAGTGTTTCTAAACTGCTCTAAGAAAAGAAAGGTTAAACTCTGTGAGTTGAAGGCACACATCACAAAGTAGTTTCTGAGAATGATTCTGTCTAGTTTTTATTTGAAGATATTTCCTTTTCTACTGTTGGCATCAAATCGCTTGAAATCTCCACTTGCAAACTCCACAAAAAGAGTGTTTCAAATCTGCTCTGTGTAAAGGGACGTTCCACTCTGTGAGTTGAATACACACAGCACAAAGAAGTTACTGAGAATTCTTCTGTCTAGCATGAAATGAAGAAATCCCGTTTCCAACGATGGCCTCAATGCGGTCCATATATCCACTTGCAGACTTTACAAACAGAGTGTTTCCAAACTGCTCTATGAAAAGAAAGGTTAAACTATGTGAGTTGAACGCACACATCACAAAGAATTTTCTGAGAATGATTCTGTCTGGTTTTTATTTGAAGATATTTCCCTTTCTACTGTTGGCATCAAATGGCTTGAAATCTCCACTTGCAAATTCCGCCAAAAAGTGTTTCAAATCTGCTCTGTCTAAAGGGACGTTCCACTCTGTGAGTTGAATGCACACAACACAAAGAATTTACTGAGAATTCTTCCGTCTAGCATTCAATGAAGAAATCCCGTTTCCAACGAAGGCCTCAAACAGGTCCATATATCCAATTGCAGACTTTACAAACAGTGTGTTTCCAAACTCCTCTATGAAAAGAAAGGTTAAACTCTGTGAGTTGAACGCACACATCACAAAGCACTTTCTGAGAATGATTCTGTCTGGTTATTATACGAAGATATTTCCTTTTCTGCAATTGTCCTCAAATCGCTTGAAATCTCCACCTGAAAATGCCACAGCAAGAGTGTTTCAAATCTGCTCTCTCTAAAGCAAGGTTCAACTCTGTGAGTTGAATACACACAACACAAAAAAGTTACTGAGAACTCTTCTTAGTCTAGCATGAAAGGAAGAAACCCCGTATGCAACGAAGGCCTCAAAGAGGTCCAAATATCCACTTGCAGACATAACAAGCAGAGTGTTTCTAAACTGCTCTAAGAAAAGAAAGGTTAAACTCTGTGAGTTAAAGGCACACATCACAAAGTAGTTTCTGAGAATGATTTCTGTCTAGTTTTTATTTGAAGATATTTCCTTTTCTACTGTTGGCATCAAATCGCTTGAAATCTCCACTTGCAAATTCCACAAAAAGAGTGTTTCAAATCTGCTCTGTGCAAAGGGACGTTCCACTCTGTGACTTGAATACACACAGCACAAAGAAGTTACTGAGAATCCTTCTGTGTAGCATGAAATGCAGAAATCCCGTTTCCAACGAAGGCCTCAATGCGGTCCATATATCCACTTGCAGACTTTACAAACAGAGTGTTTCCAAACTGCTCTATGAAAAGAAAGGTTAAACTATGTGAGTTGAACGCACACATCACAAAGAATTTTCTGAGAATGATTCTGTCTGGTTTTTATTTGAAGATATTTCCCTTTCTACTGTTGGCATCAAATGGCTAGAAATCTCCACTTGCAAATTCCGCAAAAAGAGTGTTTCAAATCTGCTCTGTCTAAAGGGACGTTCCACTCTGTGAGTTGAATGCACACAACACAAAGAATTTACTGAGAATTCTTCCGTCTAGCAGTCAATGAAGAAATCCCGTTTCCAACGAAGGCCTCAAACAGGTCCATATATCCAATTGCAGACTTTACAAACAGTGTGTTTCCAAACTCCTCTATGAAAAGAAAGGTTAAACTCTGTGAGTTGAACGCACACATCACAAAGCACTTTCTGAGAATGATTCTGTCTGGTTGTTATACGAAGATATTCCCTTTTCTGCAATTGTCCTCAAATCGCTTGAAATCTCCACCTGAAAATGCCACAGCAAGAGTGTTTCAAATCTGCTCTCTCTAAAGCAAGGTTCAACTCTGTGAGTTGAATACACACAACACAAAAAAGTTACTGAGAACTCTTCTTAGTCTAGCATGAAAGGAAGAAACCCCGTTTGCAACGAAGGCCTCAAAGAGGTCCAAATATCCACTTGCAGACATAACAAGCAGAGTGTTTCTAAACTGCTCTAAGAAAAGAAAGGTTAAACTCTGTGAGTTGAAGGCACACATCACAAAGTAGTTTCTGAGAATGATTCTGTCTAGTTTTTATTTGAAGATATTTCCTTTTCTACTGTTGGCATCAAATCGCTTGAAATCTCCACTTGCAAACTCCACAAAAAGAGTGTTTCAAATCTGCTCTGTGTAAAGGGACGTTCCACTCTGTGAGTTGAATACACACAGCACAAAGAAGTTACTGAGAATTCTTCTGTCTAGCATGAAATGAAGAAATCCCGTTTCCAACGAAGGCCTCAATGCGGTCCATATATCCACTTGCAGACTTTACAAACAGAGTGTTTCCAAACTGCTCTATGAAAAGAAAGGTTAAACTATGTGAGTTGAACGCACACATCACAAAGAATTTTCTGAGAATGATTCTGTCTGGTTTTTATTTGAAGATGTTTCCCTTTCTACTGTTGGCATCAAATGGCTAGAAATCTCCACTTGCAAATTCCGCAAAAAGAGTGTTTCAAATCTGCTCTGTCTAAAGGGACGTTCCACTCTGTCAGTTGAATGCACACAACACAAAGAATTTACTGAGAATTCTTCCGTCTAGCATTCAATGAAGAAATCCCGTTTCCAACGAAGGCCTCAAACAGGTCCATATATCCACTTGCAGACTTTACAAACAGTGTGTTTCCAAACTCCTCTATGAAAAGAAAGGTTAAACTCTGTGAGTTGAACGCACACATCACAAAGCACTTTCTGAGAATGATTCTGTCTGGTTGTTATACGAAGATATTTCCTTTTCTGCAATTGTCCTCAAATCGCTTGAAATCTCCACCTGAAAATGCCACAGCAAGAGTGTTTCAAATCTGCTCTCTCTAAAGCAAGGTTCAGCTCTGTGAGTTGAATACACACAACACAAAAAAGTTACTGAGAACTCTTCTTAGTCTAGCATGAAAGGAAGAAACCCCGTTTGCAACGAAGGCCTCAAAGAGGTCCAAATATCCACTTGCAGACATAACAAGCAGAGTGTTTCTAAACTGCTCTAAGAAAAGAAAGGTTAAACTCTGTGAGTTGAAGGCACACATCACAAAGTAGTTTTTGAGAATGATTCTGTCTAGTTTTTATTTGAAGATATTTCCTTTTCTACTGTTGGCATCAAATCGCTTGAAATCTCCACTTGCAAACTCCACAAAAAGAGTGTTTCAAATCTGCTCTGTGTAAAGGGACGTTCCACTCTGTGAGTTGAATACACACAGCACAAAGAAGTTACTGAGAATTCTTCTGTCTAGCATGAAATGAAGAAATCCCGTTTCCAACGAAGGCCTCAATGCGGTCCATATATCCACTTGCAGACTTTACAAACAGAGTGTTTCCAAACTGCTCTATGAAAAGAAAGGTTAAACTCTGTGAGTTGAACGCACACATCACAAAGCACTTTCTGAGAATGATTCTGTCTGGTTTTTATTTGAAGATATTTCCCTTTCTACTGTTGGCATCAAATGGCTAGAAATCTCCACTTGCAAATTCCGCAAAAAGAGTGTTTCAAATCTGCTCTGTCTAAAGGGACGTTCCACTCTGTGAGTTGAATGCACACAACACAAAGAATTTACTGAGATTTCTTCCGTCTAGCATTCAATGAAGAAATCCCGTTTCCAACGAAGACCTCAAACAGGTCCATATATCCACTTGCAGACTTTACAAACAGTGTGTTTCCAAACTCCTCTATGAAAAGAAAGGTTAAACTCTGTGAGTTGAACGCACACATCACAAAGCACTTTCTGAGAATGATTCTGTCTGGTTTTTATTTGAAGATATTTCTTTTTCTACTGTTGTCATCAAATCGCTTGAAATCTCCATTTGCAAATTCCAGACAAAGAGTGTTTCAAATCTGCTCTGTCTAAAAGGACGTTCCACTCTGTGAGTTGAATGCAGACAACACAAAGAATTTACTGAGAATTCTTCCGTCTAGCATTCAATGAAGAAATTCCGTTTCCAACGAAGGCCTCAAACAGGTCCATATATCCAATTGCAGACATTACAAACAGTGTGTTTCCAAACTCCTCTATGAAAAGAAAGGTTAAACTCTGTGAGTTGAACGCACACATCACAAAGCACTTTCTGAGAATGATTCTGTCTGGTTATTATACGAAGATATTTCCTTTTCTGCAATTGTCCTCAAATCGCTTGAAATCTCCACCTGAAAATGCCACAGCAAGAGTGTTTCAAATCTGCTCTCTCTAAAGCAAGGTTCAACTCTGTGAGTTGAATACACACAACACAAAAAAGTTACTGAGAACTCTTCTTAGTCTAGCATGAAAGGAAGAAACCCCGTTTGCAACGAAGGCCTCAAAGAGGTCCAAATATCCACTTGCAGACATAACAAGCAGAGTGTTTCTAAACTGCTCTAAGAAAAGAAAGGTTAAACTCTGTGAGTTGAAGGCACACATCACAAAGTAGTTTCTGAGAATGATTCTGTCTAGTTTTTATTTGAAGATATTTCCTTTTCTACTGTTGGCATCAAATCGCTTGAAATCTCCACTTGCAAATTCCACAAAGAGTGTTTCAAATCTGCTCTGTGCAAAGGGACGTTCCACTCTGTGAGTTGAATACACACAGCACAAAGAAGTTACTGAGAATTCTTCTGTCTAGCATGAAATGAAGAAATCCCGTTTCCAACGAAGGCCTCAATGCGGTCCATAGATCCACTTGCAGACTTTACAAACAGAGTGTTTCCAAACTGCTCTATGAAAAGAAAGGTTAAACTATGTGAGTTGAACGCACACATCACAAAGAATTTTCTGAGAATGATTCTGTCTGGTTTTTATTTGAAGATATTTCCCTTTCTACTGTTGGCATCAAATGGCTAGAAATCTCCACTTGCAAATTCCGCAAAAAGAGTGTTTCAAATCTGCTCTGTCTAAAGGGACGTTCCACTCTGTGAGTTGAATGCACACAACACAAAGAATTTACTGAGAATTCTTCCGTCTAGCATTCAATGAAGAAATCCCGTTTCCAACGAAGGCCTCAAACAGGTCCATATATCCAATTGCAGACTTTACAAACAGTGTGTTTCCAAACTCCTCTATGAAAAGAAAGGTTAAACTCTGTGAGTTGAACGCACACATCACAAAGCACTTTCTGAGAATGATTCTGTCTGGTTATTATACGAAGATATTTCCTTTTCTGCAATTGTCCTCAAATCGCTTGAAATCTCCACCTGAAAATGCCACAGCAAGAGTGTTTCAAATCTGCTCTCTCTAAAGCAAGGTTCAACTCTGTGAGTTGAATACACACAACACAAAAAAGTTACTGAGAACTCTTCTTAGTCTAGCATTAAAGGAAGAAACCCCGTTTGCAACGAAGGCCTCAAAGAGGTCCAAATATCCACTTGCAGACATAACAAGCAGAGTGTTTCTAAACTGCTCTAAGAAAAGAAAGGTTAAACTCTGTGAGTTGAAGGCACACATCACAAAGTAGTTTCTGAGAATGATTCTGTCTAGTTTTTATTTGAAGATATTTCCTTTTCTACTGTTGGCATCAAATCGCTTGAAATCTCCACTTGCAAACTCCACAAAAAGAGTGTTTCAAATCTGCTCTGTGCAAAGGGATGTTCCACTCTGTGAGTTGAATACACACAGCACAAAGAAGTTACTGAGAATTCTTCTGTCTAGCATGAAATGAAGAAATCCCGTTTCCAACGAAGGCCTCAATGCGGTCCATATATCCACTTGCAGACTTTACAAACAGAGTGTTTCCAAACTGCTCTATGAAAAGAAAGGTTAAACTATGTGAGTTGAACGCACACATCACAAAGAATTTTCTGAGAATGATTCTGTCTGGTTTTTATTTGAAGATATTTCCCTTTCTACTGTTGGCATCAAATGGCTAGAAATCTCCACTTGCAAATTCCGCAAAAAGAGTGTTTCAAATCTGCTCTGTCTAAAGGGACGTTCCACTCTGTGAGTTGAATGCACACAACACAAAGAATTTACTGAGAATTCTTCCGTCTAGCAGTCAATGAAGAAATCCCGTTTCCAACGAAGGCCTCAAACAGGTCCATATATCCAATTGCAGACTTTACAAACAGTGTGTTTCCAAACTCCTCTATGAAAAGAAAGGTTAAACTCTGTGAGTTGAACGCACACATCACAAAGCACTCTCTGAGAATGATTCTGTCTGGTTATTATACGAAGATATTTCCTTTTCTGCAATTGTCCTCAAATCGCTTGAAATCTCCACCTGAAAATGCCACAGCAAGAGTGTTTCAAATCTGCTCTCTCTAAAGCAAGGTTCAACTCTGTGAGTTGAATACACACAACACAAAAAAGTTACTGAGAACTCTTCTTAGTCTAGCATGAAAGGAAGAAACCCCGTTTGCAACGAAGGCCTCAAAGAGGTCCAAATATCCACTTGCAGACATAACAAGCAGAGTGTTTCTAAACTGCTCTAAGAAAAGAAAGGTTAAACTCTGTGAGTTGAAGGCACACATCACAAAGTAGTTTCTGAGAATGATTCTGTCTAGTTTTTATTTGAAGATATTTCCTTTTCTACTGTTGGCATCAAATCGCTTGAAATCTCCACTTGCAAATTCCACAAAAAGAGTGTTTCAAATCTGTTCTGTGTAAAGGAACGTTCCACTCTTGTGAGTTGAATACACACAGCACAAAGAAGTTACTGAGAATTCTTCTGTCTAGCATGAAATGAAGAAATCCCGTTTCCAACGAAGGCCTCAATGCGGTCCATATATCCACTTGCAGACTTTACAAACAGAGTGTTTCCAAACTGCTCTATGAAAAGAAAGGTTAAACTATGTGAGTTGAACGCACACATCACAAAGAATTTTCTGAGAATGATTCTGTCTGGTTTTTATTTGAAGATATTTCCCTTTCTACTGTTGGCATCAAATGGCTAGAAATCTCCACTTGCAAATTCCGCAAAAAGAGTGTTTCAAATCTGCTCTGTCTAAAGGGACGTTCCACTCTGTGAGTTGAATGCACACAACACAAAGAATTTACTGAGAATTCTTCCGTCTAGCATTCAATGAAGAAATCCCGTTTCCAACGAAGGCCTCAAACAGGTCCATATATCCACTTGCAGACTTTACAAACAGTGTGTTTCCAAACTCCTCTATGAAAAGAAAGGTTAAACTCTGTGAGTTGAACGCACACATCACAAAGCACTTTCTGAGAATGATTCTGTCTGGTTATTATACGAAGATATTTCCTTTTCTGCAATTGTCCTCAAATCGCTTGAAATCTCCACCTGAAAATGCCACAGCAAGAGTGTTTCAAATCTGCTCTCTCTAAAGCAAGGTTCAACTCTGTGAGTTGAATACACACAACACAAAAAAGTTACTGAGAACTCTTCTTAGTCTAGCATTAAAGGAAGAAACCCCGTTTGCAACGAAGGCCTCAAAGAGGTCCAAATATCCACTTGCAGACATAACAAGCAGAGTGTTTCTAAGCTGCTCTAAGAAAAGAAAGGTTAAACTCTGTGAGTTGAAGGCACACATCACAAAGTAGTTTCTGAGAATGATTCTGTCTAGTTTTTATTTGAAGATATTTCCTTTTCTACTGTTGGCATCAAATCGCTTGAAATCTCCACTTGCAAACTCCACAAAAAGAGTGTTTCAAATCTGCTCTGTGTAAAGGGACATTCCACTCTGTGAGTTGAATACACACAGCACAAAGAAGTTACTGAGAATTCTTCTGTCTAGCATGAAATGAAGAAATCCCGTTTCCAACGAAGGCCTCAATGCGGTCCATATATCCACTTGCAGACTTTGCAAACAGAGTGTTTCCAAACTGCTCTATGAAAAGAAAGGTTAAACTATGTGATTTGAACGCACACATCACAAAGAATTTTCTGAGAATGATTCTGTCTGGTTTTTATTTGAAGATATTTCCCTTTCTACTGTTGGCATCAAATGGCTAGAAATCTCCACTTGCAAATTCCGCAAAAAGAGTGTTTCAAATCTGCTCTGTCTAAAGGGACGTTCCACTCTGTGAGTTGAATGCACACAACACAAAGAATTTACTGAGAATTCTTCCGTCTAGCATTCAATGAAGAAATCCCGTTTCCAACGAAGGCCTCAAACAGGTCCATATATCCAATTGCAGACTTTACAAACAGTGTGTTTCCAAACTCCTCTATGAAAAGAAAGGTTAAACTCTGTGAGTTGAACGCACACATCACAAAGCACTTTCTGAGAATGATTCTGTCTGGTTATTATACGAAGATATTTCCTTTTCTGCAATTGTCCTCAAATCGCTTGAAATCTCCACCTGAAAATGCCACAGCAAGAGTGTTTCAAATCTGCTCTCTCTAAAGCAAGGTTCAACTCTGTGAGTTGAATACACACAACACAAAAAAGTTACTGAGAACTCTTCTTAGTCTAGCATGAAAGGAAGAAACCCCGTTTGCAACGAAGGCCTCAAAGAGGTCCAAATATCCACTTGCAGACATAACAAGCAGAGTGTTTCTAAACTGCTCTAAGAAAAGAAAGGTTAAACTCTGTGAGTTGAAGGCACACATCACAAAGTAGTTTCTGAGAATGATTCTGTCTAGTTTTTATTTGAAGATATTTCCTTTTCTACTGTTGGCATCAAATCGCTTGAAATCTCCACTTGCAAACTCCACAAAAAGAGTGTTTCAAATCTGCTCTGTGCAAAGGGACGTTCCACTCTGTGAGTTGAATACACACAGCACAAAGAAGTTACTGAGAATTCTTCTGTCTAGCATGAAATGAAGAAATCCCGTTTCCAACGAAGGCCTCAATGCGGTCCATATATCCAGTTGCAGACTTTACAAACAGAGTGTTTCCAAACTGCTCTATGAAAAGAAAGGTTAAACTATGTGAGTTGAACGCACACATCACAAAGAATTTTCTGAGAATGATTCTGTCTGGTTTTTATTTGAAGATATTTCCCTTTCTACTGTTGGCATCAAATGGCTAGAAATCTCCACTTGCAAATTCCGCAAAAAGAGTGTTTCAAATCTGCTCTGTCTAAAGGGACGTTCCACTCTGTCAGTTGAATGCACACAACACAAAGAATTTACTGAGAATTCTTCCGTCTAGCATTCAATGAAGAAATCCCGTTTCCAACGGAGGCCTCAAACAGGTCTGTATATCCAATTGCAGACTTTACAAACAGTGTGTTTCCAAGCTCCTCTATGAAAAGAAAGGTTAAACTCTGTGAGTTGAACGCACACATCACAAAGCACTTTCTGAGAATGATTCTGTCTGGTTATTATACGAAGATATTTCCTTTTCTGCAATTGTCCTCAAATCGCTTGAAATCTCCACCTGAAAATGCCACAGCAAGAGTGTTTCAAATCTGCTCTCTCTAAAGCAAGGTTCAACTCTGTGAGTTGAATACACACAACAGAAAAAAGTTACTGAGAACTCTTCTTAGTCTAGCATGAAAGGAAGAAACCCCGTTTGCAACGAAGGCCTCAAAGAGGTCCAAATATCCACTTGCAGACATAACAAGCAGAGTGTTTCTAAACTGCTCTAAGAAAAGAAAGGTTAAACTCTGTGAGTTGAAGGCACACATCACAAAGTAGTTTCTGAGAATGATTCTGTCTAGTTTTTATTTGAAGATATTTCCTTTTCTACTGTTGGCATCAAATCGCTTGAAATCTCCACTTGCAAACTCCACAAAAAGAGTGTTTCAAATCCGCTCTGTGCAAAGGGACGTTCCACTCTGTGAGTTGAATACACACAGCACAAAGAAGTTACTGAGAATTCTTCTGTCTAGCATGAAATGAAGAAATCCCGTTTCCAACGAAGGCCTCAATGCGGTCCATATATCCACTTGCAGACTTTACAAACAGAGTGTTTCCAAACTGCTCTATGAAAAGAAAGGTTAAACTATGTGAGTTGAACGCACACATCACAAAGAATTTTCTGAGAATGATTCTGTCTGGTTTTTATTTGAAGATATTTCCCTTTCTACTGTTGGCATCAAATGGCTAGAAATCTCCACTTGCAAATTCCGCAAAAAGAGTGTTTCAATTCTGCTCTGTCTAAAGGGACGTTCCACTCTGTGAGTTGAATGCACACAACACAAAGAATTTACTGAGAATTCTTCCGTCTAGCATTCAATGAAGAAATCCCGTTTCCAACGAAGGCCTCAAACAGGTCCATATATCCAATTGCAGACTTTACAAACAGTGTGTTTCCAAACTCCTCTATGAAAAGAAAGGTTAAACTCTGTGAGTTGAACGCACACAACACAAAGCACTTTCTGAGAATGATTCTGTCTGGTTATTATACGAAGATATTTCCTTTTCTGCAATTGTCCTCAAATCGCTTGAAATCTCCACCTGAAAATGCCACAGCAAGAGTGTTTCAAATCTGCTCTCTCTAAAGCAAGGTTCAACTCTGTGAGTTGAATACACACAACACAAAAAAGTTACTGAGAACTCTTCTTAGTCTAGCATTAAAGGAAGAAACCCCGTTTGCAACGAAGGCCTCAAAGAGGTCCAAATATCCACTTGCAGACATAACAAGCAGAGTGTTTCTAAACTGCTCTAAGAAAAGAAAGGTTAAACTCTGTGAGTTGAAGGCACACATCACAAAGTAGTTTCTGAGAATGATTCTGTCTAGTTTTTATTTGAAGATATTTCCTTTTCTACTGCTGGCATCAAATCGCTTGAAATCTCCACTTGCAAACTCCACAAAAAGAGTGTTTCAAATCTGCTCTGTGTAAAGGGACGTTCCACTCTGTGAGTTGAATACACACAGCACAAAGAAGTTACTGAGAATTCTTCTGTCTAGCATGAAATGAAGAAATCCCGTTTCCAACGAAGGCCTCAATGCGGTCCATATATCCACTTGCAGACTTTACAAACAGAGTGTTTCCAAACTGCTCTATGAAAAGAAAGGTTAAACTATGTGAGTTGAACGCACACATCACAAAGAATTTTCTGAGAATGATTCTGTCTGGTTTTTATTTGAAGATATTTCCCTTTCTACTGTTGGCATCAAATGGCTAGAAATCTCCACTTGCAAATTCCGCAAAAAGAGTGTTTCAAATCTGCTCTGTCTAAAGGGACGTTCCACTCTGTGAGTTGAATCCACACAACACAAAGAATTTACTGAGAATTCTTCCGTCTAGCATTCAATGAAGAAATCCCGTTTCCAACGAAGGCCTCAAACAGGTCCATATATCCACTTGCAGAGTTTACAAACAGTGTGTTTCCAAACTCCTCTATGAAAAGAAAGGTTAAACTACTGTGAGTGGAACGCACACATCACAAAGCACTTTCTGAGAATGATTCTGTCTGGTTATTATACGAAGATATTTCCTTTTCTGCAATTGTCCTCAAATCGCTTGAAATCTCCACCTGAAAATGCCACAGCAAGAGTGTTTCAAATCTGCTCTCTCTAAAGCAAGGTTCAACTCTGTGAGTTGAATACACACAACACAAGAAAGTTACTGAGAACTCTTCTTAGTCTAGCATGAAAGGAAGAAACCCCGTTTGCAACGAAGGCCTCAAAGAGGTCCAAATATCCACTTGCAGACATAACAAGCAGAGTGTTTCTAAACTGCTCTAAGAAAAGAAAGGTTAAACTCTGTGAGTTGAAGGCACACATCACAAAGTAGTTTCTGAGAATGATTCTGTCTAGTTTTTATTTGAAGATATTTCCTTTTCTACTGTTGGCATCAAATCGCTTGAAATCTCCACTTGCAAACTCCACAAAAAGAGTGTTTCAAATCTGCTCTGTGCAAAGGGACGTTCCACTCTGTGAGTTGAATACACACAGCACAAAGAAGTTACTGAGAATTCTTCTGTCTAGCATGAAATGAAGAAATCCCGTTTCCAACGAAGGCCTCAATGCGGTCCATATATCCACTTGCAGACTTTACAAACAGAGTGTTTCCAAACTGCTCTATGAAAAGAAAGGTTAAACTATGTGAGTTGAACGCACACATCACAAAGAATTTTGCTGAGAATGATTTCTGTCTGGTTTTTATTTGAAGATATTTCCCTTTCTACTGTTGGCATCAAATGGCTAGAAATCTCCACTTGCAAATTCCGCAAAAAGAGTGTTTCAAATCTGCTCTTTCTAAAGGGACGTTCCACTCTGTGAGTTGAATGCACACAACACAAAGAATTTACTGAGAATTCTTCCGTCTAGCATTCAATGAAGAAATCCCGTTTCCAACGAAGGCCTCAAACAGGTCCATATATCCACTTGCAGAGTTTACAAACAGTGTGTTTCCAAACTCCTCTATGAAAAGAAAGGTTAAACTCTGTGAGTGGAACGCACACATCACAAAGCACTTTCTGAGAATGATTCTGTCTGGTTATTATACGAAGATATTCCCTTTTCTGCAATTTTCCTCAAATCACTTGAAATCTCCACCTGAAAATGCCACAGCAAGAGTGTTTCAAATCTGCTCTCTCTAAAGCAAGGTTCAACTCTGTGAGTTGAATACACACAGCACAAAGAAGTTACTGAGAATTCTTCTTAGTCTAGCATGAAAGGAAGAAACCCCGTTTGCAACGAAGGCCTCAAAGAGGTCCAAATATCCACTTGCAGACATAACAAGCAGAGTGTTTCTAAACTGCTCTAAGAAAAGAAAGGTTAAACTCTGTGAGTTGAAGGCACACATCACAAAGTAGTTTCTGAGAATGATTCTGTCTAGTTTTTATTTGAAGATATTTCCTTTTCTACTGTTGGCATCAAATCGCTTGAAATCTCCACTTGCAAACTCCACAAAAAGAGTGTTTCAAATCTGCTCTGTGTAAAGGGACGTTCCACTCTGTGAGTTGAATACACACAGCACAAAGAAGTTACTGAGAATTCTTCTGTCTAGCACGAAATGAAGAAATCCCGTTTCCAACGAAGGCCTCAAAGCGGTCCATATATCTACTTGCAGACTTTACAAACAGAGTGTTTCCAAACTGCTCTATGAAAAGAAAGGTTAAACTATGTGAGTTGAGCGCACACATCACAAAGAATTTTCTGAGAATGATTCTGTCTGGTTTTTATTTGAAGATATTTCCCTTTCTACTGTTGGCATCAAATGGCTAGAAATCTCCACTTGCAAATTCCGCAAAAAGAGTGTTTCAAATCTGCTCTGTCTAAAGGGACGTTCCACTCTGTGAGTTGAATGCACACAACACAAAGAATTTACTGAGAATTCTTCCGTCTAGCATTCAATGAAGAAATCCCGTTTCCAACGAAGGCCTCAAACAGGTCCATATATCCACTTGCAGACTTTACAAACAGTGTGTTTCCAAACTCCTCTATGAAAAGAAAGGTTAAACTCTGTGAGTTGAACGCACACATCACAAAGCACTTTCTGAGAATGATTCTGTCTGGTTATTATACGAAGATATTTCCTTTTCTGCAATTGTCCTCAAATCGCTTGAAATCTCCACCTGAAAATGCCACATCAAGAGTGTTTCAAATCTGCTCTCTCTAAAGCAAGGTTCAACTCTGTGAGTTGAATACACACAACACAAAAAAGTTACTGAGAACTCTTCTTAGTCTAGCATGAAAGGAAGAAACCCCGTTTGCAACGAAGGCCTCAAAGAGGTCCAAATATCCACTTGCAGACATAACAAGCAGAGTGTTTCTAAACTGCTCTAAGAAAAGAAAGGTTAAACTCTGTGAGTTGAAGGCACACATCACAAAGTAGTTTTTGAGAATGCTTCTGTCTAATTTTTATTTGAAGATATTTCCTTTCCAACTTTTGGCATCAAATCGCTTGAATTCTCCACTTTCAAATTCCACAAAAAGAGTGTTTCAAAACTGCTCTGTGTAATGGGACATTCCAATCTGTCAGTTGAATACACACAACACAAAGAAGTTACTGAGAATTCTTCTGTCTAGCATGAAATGAAGAAATCCCGTTTCCAACGAAGGCCTCAATGCGGTCCATATATCCACTTGCAGACTTTACAAACAGAGTGTTTCCAAACTGCTCTATGAAAAGAAAGGTTAAACTATGTGAGTTGAACGCACACATCACAAAGAATTTTCTGTGAATGATTCTGTCTGGTTTTTATTTGAAGATATTTCCCTTTCTACTGTTGGCATCAAATGGCTAGAAATCTCCACTTGCAAATTCCGCAAAAAGAGTGTTTCAAATCTGCTCTGTCTAAAGGGACGTTCCACTCTGTGAGTTGAATGCACACAACACAAAGAATTTACTGAGAATTCTTCCGTCTAGCATTCAATGAAGAAATCCCGTTTCCAAAGAAGGCCTCAAACAGGTCCATATATCCAATTGCAGACTTTACAAACAGTGTGTTTCCAAACTCCTCTATGAAAAGAAAGGTTAAACTACTGTGAGTTGAACGCACACATCACAAAGCACTTTCTGAGAATGATTCTGTCTGGTTATTATACGAAGATATTTCCTTTTCTGCAATTGTCCTCAAATCGCTTGAAATCTCCACCTGAAAATGCCACAGCAAGAGTGTTTCAAATCTGCTCTCTCTAAAGCAAGGTTCAACTATGTGAGTTGAATACACACAACACAAAAAAGTTACTGAGAACTCTTCTTAGTCTAGCATTAAAGGAAGAAACCCCGTTTGCAACGAAGGCCTCAAAGAGGTCCAAATATCCACTTGCAGACATAACAAGCAGAGTGTTTCTAAACTGCTCTAAGAAAAGAAAGGTTAAACTCTGTGAGTTGAAGGCAGACATCACAAAGTAGTTTCTGAGAATGATTCTGTCTAGTTTTTATTTGAAGATATTTCCTTTTCTACTGTTGGCATCAAATCGCTTGAAATCTCCACTTGCAAACTCCACAAAAAGAGTGTTTCAAATCTGCTCTGTGCAAAGGGACGTTCCACTCTGTGAGTTGAGTACACACAGCACAAAGAAGATACTGAGAATTCTTCTGTCTAGCATGAAATGAAGAAATCCCGTTTCCAACGAAGGCCTCAATGCGGTCCATATATCCACTTGCAGACTTTACAAACAGAGTGTTTCCAAACTGCTCTATGAAAAGAAAGGTTAAACTATGTGAGTTGAACGCACACATCACAAAGAATTTTCTGAGAATGATTCTGTCTGGTTTTTATTTGAAGATATTTCCCTTTCTACTGTTGGCATCAAATGGCTAGAAATCTCCACTTTCAAATTCCGCAAAAAGAGTGTTTCAAATCTGCTCTGTCTAAAGGGACGTTCCACTCTGTGAGTTGAATGCACACAACACAAAGAATTTACTGAGAATTCTTCCGTCTAGCATTCAATGAAGAAATCCCGTTTCCAACGAAGGCCTCAAACAGGTCCATATATCCACTTGCAGACTTTACAAACAGTGTGTTTCCAAACTCCTCTATGAAAAGAAAGGTTAAACTCTGTGAGTTCAACGCACACATCACAAAGCACTTTCTGAGAATGATTTCTGTCTGGTTATTATACGAAGATATTTCCTTTTCTGCAATTGTCCTCAAATCGCTTGAAATCTCCACCTGAAAATGCCACAGCAAGAGTGTTTCAAATCTGCTCTCTCTAAAGCAAGGTTCAACTCTGTGAGTTGAATACACACAACACAAAAAAGTTACTGAGAACTCTTCTTAGTCTAGCATGAAAGGAAGAAACCCCGTTTGCAACGAAGGCCTCAAAGAGGTCCAAATATCCACTTGCAGACATAACAAGCAGAGTGTTTCTAAACTGCTCTAAGAAAAGAAAGGTTAAACTCTGTGAGTTGAAGGCACACATCACAAAGTAGTTTCTGAGAATGATTCTGTCTAGTTTTTATTTGAAGATATTTCCTTTTCTACTGCTGGCATCAAATCGCTTGAAATCTCCACTTGCAAACTCCACAAAAAGAGTGTTTCAAATCTGCTCTGTGTAAAGGGACGTTCCACTCTGTGAGTTGAATACACACAGCACAAAGAAGTTACTGAGAATTCTTCTGTCTCGCATGAAATGAAGAAATCCCGTTTCCAACGAAGGCCTCAATGCGGTCCATATATCCACTTGCAGACTTTACAAACAGAGTGTTTCCAAACTGCTCTATGAAAAGAAAGGTTAAACTATGTGAGTTGAACGCACACATCACAAAGAATTTTCTGAGAATGATTCTGTCTGGTTTTTATTTGAAGATATTTCCCTTTCTACTGTTGGCATCAAATGGCTAGAAATCTCCACTTGCAAATTCCGCAAAAAGAGTGTTTCAAATCTGCTCTGTCTAAAGGGACGTTCCACTCTGTGAGTTGAATGCACACAACACAAAGAATTTACTGAGAATTCTTCCGTCTAGCATTCAATGAAGAAATCCCGTTTCCAACGAAGGCCTCAAACAGGTCCATATATCCAATTGCAGACTTTACAAACAGTGTGTTTCCAAACTCCTCTATGAAAAGAAAGGTTAAACTCTGTGAGTGGAATGCACACATCACAAAGCACTTTCTGAGAATGATTCTGTCTGGTTGTTATACAAAGATATTTCCTTTTCTGCAATTGTCCTCAAATCGCTTGAAATCTCCACCTGAAAATGTCACAGCAAGAGTGTTTCAAATCTGCTCTCTCTAAAGCAAGGTTCAACTCTGTGAGTTGAATACACACAACACAGAAAAGTTACTGAGAACTCTTCTTAGTCTAGCATTAAAGGAAGAAACCCCGTTTGCAACGAAGGCCTCAAAGAGGTCCAAATATCCACTTGCAGACATAACAAGCAGAGTGTTTCTAAACTGCTCTAAGAAAAGAAAGGTTAAACTCTGTGAGTTGAAGGCACACATCACAAAGTAGTTTCTGAGAATGATTCTGTCTAGTTTTTATTTGAAGATATTTCCTTTTCTACTGTTGGCATCAAAATCGCTTGAAATCTCCACTTGCAAATTCCACAAAAAGAGTGTTTCAAATCTGCTCTGTGCAAAGGGACGTTCCACTCTGTGAGTTGAATACACACAGCACAAAGAAGTTACTGAGAATTCTTCTGTCTAGCATGAAATGAAGAAATCCCGTTTCCAACGAAGGCCTCAATGCGGTCCATATATCCACTTGCAGACTTTACAAACAGAGTGTTTCCAAACTGCTCTATGAAAAGAAAGGTTAAACTATGTGAGTTGAACGCACACATCACAAAGAATTTTCTGAGAATGATTCTGTCAGGTTTTTATTTGAAGATATTTCCCTTTCTACTGTTGGCATCAAATGGCTAGAAATCTCCACTTGCAAATTCCGCAAAAAGAGTGTTTCAAATCTGCTCTGTCTAAAGGGACGTTCCACTCTGTGAGTTGAATGCACACAACACAAAGAATTTACTGAGAATTCTTCCGTCTAGCATTCAATGAAGAAATCCCGTTTCCAACGAAGGCCTCAAAGAGGTCCATATATCCACTTGCAGACTTTACAAACAGTGTGTTTCCAAACTCCTCTATGAAAAGAAAGGTTAAACTCTGTCAGTTGAACGCACACATCACAAAGCACTTTCTGAGAATGATTCTGTCTGGTTATTATACGAAGATATTTCCTTTTCTGCAATTGTCCTCAAATCGCTTGAAATCTCCACCTGAAAATGCCACAGCAAGAGTGTTTCAAATCTGCTCTCTCTAAAGCAAGGTTCAACTCTGTGAGTTGAATACACACAACACAAAAAAGTTACTGAGAACTCTTCTTAGTCTAGCATGAAAGGAAGAAACCCCGTTTGCAACGAAGGCCTCAAAGAGGTCCAAATATCCACTTGCAGACATAACAAGCAGAGTGTTTCTAAACTGCTCTAAGAAAAGAAAGGTTAAACTCTGTGAGTTGAAGGCACACATCACAAAGTAGTTTCTGAGAATGATTCTGTCTAGTTTTTATTTGAAGATATTTCCTTTTCTACTGTTGGCATCAAATCGCTTGAAATCTCCACTTGCAAACTCCACAAAAAGAGTGTTTCAAATCTGCTCTGTGTAAAGGGACGTTCCACTCTGTGAGTTGAATACACACAGCACAAAGAAGTTACTGAGAATTCTTCTGTCTAGCATGAAATGAAGAAATCCCGTTTCCAACGAAGGCCTCAATGCGGTCCATATATCCACTTGCAGACTTTACAAACAGAGTGTTTGCAAACTGCTCTATGAAAAGAAAGGTTAAACTATGTGAGTTGAACGCACACATCACAAAGAATTTTCTGAGAATGATTCTGTCTGGTTTTTATTTGAAGATATTTCCCTTTCTACTGTTGGCATCAAATGGCTAGAAATCTCCACTTGCAAATTCCGCAAAAAGAGTGTTTCAAATCTGCTCTGTCTAAAGGGACGTTCCACTCTGTGAGTTGAATGCACACAACACAAAGAATTTACTGAGAATTCTTCCGTCTAGCATTCAATGAAGAAATCCCGTTTCCAACGAAGGCCTCAAACAGGTCCATATATCCACTTGCAGAGTTTACAAACAGTGTGTTTCCAAACTCCTCTATGAAAAGAAAGGTTAAACTCTGTGAGTGGAACGCACACATCACAAAGCACTTTCTGAGAATGATTCTGTCTGGTTATTATACGAAGATATTTCCTTTTCTGCAATTGTCCTCAAATCGCTTGAAATCTCCACCTGAAAATGCCACAGCAAGAGTGTTTCAAATCTGCTCTCTCTAAAGCAAGGTTCAACTCTGTGAGTTGAATACACACAACACAAAAAAGTTACTGAGAACTCTTCTTAGTCTAGCATGAAAGGAAGAAACCCCGTTTGCAACGAAGGCCTCAAAGAGGTCCAAATATCCACTTGCAGACATAACAAGCAGAGTGTTTCTAAACTGCTCTAAGAAAAGAAAGGTTAAACTCTGTGAGTTGAAGGCACACATCACAAAGTAGTTTCTGAGAATGATTCTGTCTAGTTTTTATTTGAAGATATTTCCTTTTCTACTGTTGGCATCAAATCGCTTGAAATCTCCACTTGCAAACTCCACAAAAAGAGTGTTTCAAATCTGCTCTGTGCAAAGGGACGTTCCACTCTGTGAGTTGAATACACACAGCACAAAGAAGTTACTGAGAATTCTTCTGTCTAGCATGAAATGAAGAAATCCCGTTTCCAACGAAGGCCTCAATGCGGTCTATATATCCACTTGCAGACTTTACAAACAGAGTGTTTCCAAACTGCTCTATGAAAAGAAAGGTTAAACTATGTGAGTTGAACGCACACATCACAAAGAATTTTCTGAGAATGATTTCTGTCTGGTTTTTATTTGAAGATATTTCCCTTTCTACTGTTGGCATCAAATGGCTAGAAATCTCCACTTGCAAATTCCGCAAAAAGAGTGTTTCAAATCTGCTCTGTCTAAAGGGACGTTCCACTCTGTGAGTTGAATGCACACAACACAAAGAATTTACTGAGAATTCTTCCGTCTAGCATTCAATGAAGAAATCCCGTTTCCAACGAAGGCCTCAAACAGGTCCATATATCCAATTGCAGACTTTACAAACAGTGTGTTTCCAAACTCCTCTATGAAAAGAAAGGTTAAACTCTGTGAGTGGAACGCACACATCACAAAGCACTTTCTGAGAATGATTTCTGTCTGGTTATTATACGAAGATATTTCCTTTTCTGCAATTGTCCTCAAAACGCTTGAAATCTCCACCTGAAAATGCCACAGCAAGAGTGTTTCAAATCTGCTCTCTCTAAAGCAAGGTTCAACTCTGTGAGTTGAATACACACAACACAAAAAAGTTACTGAGAACTCTTCTTAGTCTAGCATGAAAGGAAGAAACCCCGTTTGCAACGAAGGCCTCAAAGAGGTCCAAATATCCACTTGCAGACATAACAAGCAGAGTGTTTCTAAACTGCTCTAAGAAAAGAAAGGTTAAACTCTGTGAGTTGAAGGCACACATCACAAAGTAGTTTCTGAGAATGATTCTGTCTAGTTTTTATTTGAAGATATTTCCTTTTCTACTGTTGGCATCAAATCGCTTGAAATCTCCACTTGCAAACTCCACAAAAAGAGTGTTTCAAATCTGCTCTGTGCAAAGGGACGTTCCACTCTGTGAGTTGAATACACACAGCACAAAGAAGTTACTGAGAATTCTTCTGTCTAGCATGAAATGAAGAAATCCCGTTTCCAACGAAGGCCTCAATGCGGTCCATATATCCACTTGCAGACTTTACAAACAGAGTGTTTCCAAACTGCTCTATGAAAAGAAAGGTTAAACTATGTGAGTTGAACGCACACATCACAAAGAATTTTCTGAGAATGATTCTGTCTGGTTTTTATTTGAAGATATTTCCCTTTCTACTGTTGGCATCAAATGGCTAGAAATCTCCACTTGCAAATTCCGCAAAAAGAGTGTTTCAAATCTGCTCTGTCTAAAGGGACGTTCCACTCTGTGAGTTGAATGCACACAACACAAAGAATTTACTGAGAATTCTTCCGTCTAGCATTCAATGAAGAAATCCCGTTTCCAACGGAGGCCTCAAACAGGTCCATATATCCAATTGCAGACTTTACAAACAGTGTGTTTCCAAACTCCTCTATGAAAAGAAAGGTTAAACTCTGTGAGTTGAACGCACACATCACAAAGCACTTTCTGAGAATGATTCTGTCTGGTTATTATACGAAGATATTTCCTTTTCTGCAATTGTCCTCAAATCGCTTGAAATCTCCACCTGAAAATGCCACAGCAAGAGTGTTTCAAATCTGCTCTCTCTAAAGCAAGGTTCAACTCTGTGAGTTGAATACACACAACACAAAAAAGTTACTGAGAACTCTTTCTTAGTCTAGCATGAAAGGAAGAAACCCCGTTTGCAACGAAGGCCTCAAAGAGGTCCAAATATCCACTTGCAGACATAACAAGCAGAGTGTTTCTAAACTGCTCTAAGAAAAGAAAGGTTAAACTCTGTGAGTTGAAGGCACACATCACAAAGTAGTTTCTGAGAATGATTCTGTCTAGTTTTTATTTGAAGATATTTCCTTTTCTACTGTTGGCATCAAATCGCTTGAAATCTCCACTTGCAAATTCAACAAAAAGAGTGTTTCAAATCTGCTCTGTGTAAAGGGACGTTCCACTCTGTGAGTTGAATACACACAGCACAAAGAAGCTACTGAGAATTCTTCTGTCTAGCATGAAATGAAGAAATCCCGTTTCCAACGAAGGCCTCAATGCGGTCCATATATCCACTTACAGACTTTACAAACAGAGTGTTTCCAAACTGCTCTATGAAAAGAAAGGTTAAACTATGTGAGTTGAACGCACACATCACAAAAAATTTTTCTGAGAATGATTCTGTCTGGTTTTTATTTGAAGATATTTCCCTTTCTACTGTTGGCATCAAATGGCTAGAAATCTCCACTTGCAAATTCCGCAAAAAGAGTGTTTCAAATCTGCTCTGTCTAAAGGGACGTTCCACTCTGTCAGTTGAATGCACACAACACAAAGAATTTACTGAGAATTCTTCCGTCTAGCATTCAATGAAGAAATCCCGTTTCCAACGAAGGCCTCAAACAGGTCCATATATCCACTTGCAGACTTTACAAACAGTGTGTTTCCAAACTCCTCTATGAAAAGAAAGGTTAAACTCTGTGAGTGGAACGCACACATCACAAAGCACTTTCTGAGAATGATTCTGTCTGGTTATTATACGAAGATATTTCCTTTTCTGCAATTGTCCTCAAATCGCTTGAAATCTCCACCTGAAAATGCCACAGCAAGAGTGTTTCAAATCTGCTCTCTCTAAAGCAAGGTTCAACTCTGTGAGTTGAATACACACAACACAAAAAAGTTACTGAGAACTCTTCTTAGTCTAGCATGAAAGGAAGAAACCCCGTTTGCAACGAAGGCCTCAAAGAGGTCCAAATATCCACTTGCAGACATAACAAGCAGAGTGTTTCTAAACTGCTCTAAGAAAAGAAAGGTTAAACTCTGTGAGTTGAAGGCACACATCACAAAGTAGTTTCTGAGAATGATTCTGTCTTGTTTTTATTTGAAGATATTTCCTTTTCTACTGTTGGCATCAAATCGCTTGAAATCTCCACTTGCAAACTCCACAAAAAGGGTGTTTCAAATCTGCTCTGTGTAAAGGGACGTTCCACTCTGTGAGTTGAATACACACAGCACAAAGAAGTTACTGAGAATTCTTCTGTCTAGCATTCAATGAAGAAATCCCGTTTCCAAGGAATGCCTGAAAGCGGTACATATATCCACTTGCAGATTTTACAAACAGTGTGTTTCGAAACTGCTCTATGAAAAGAAAAGTTAAACTATGTGTGCTGAACGCACACATCACAAAGAATTTTCTGAGAATGATTCTGTCTGGTTTTTATTTGAAGATATTTCCCTTTCTACTGTTGGCATCAAATGGCTAGAAATCTCCACTTGCAAATTCCGCAAAAAGAGTGTTTCAAATCTGCTCTGTCTAAAGGGACGTTCCACTCTGTGAGTTGAATGCACACAACACAAAGAATTTACTGAGAATTCTTCCGTCTAGCATTCAATGAAGAAATCCCGTTTCCAACGAAGGCCTCAAACAGGTCCATATATCCACTTGCAGACTTTACAAACAGTGTGTTTCCAAACTCCTCTATGAAAAGAAAGGTTAAACTCTGTGAGTTGAACGCACACATCACAAAGCACTTTCTGAGAATGATTCTGTCTGGTTATTATACGAAGATATTTCCTTTTCTGCAATTGTCCTCAAATCGTTTGAAATCTCCACCTGAAAATGCCACAGCAAGAGTGTTTCAAATCTGCTCTCTCTAAAGCAAGGTTCAACTCTGTGAGTTGAATACACACAACACAAAAAAGTTACTGAGAACTCTTCTTAGTCTAGCATTAAAGGAAGAAACCCCGTTTGCAACGAAGGCCTCAAAGAGGTCCAAATATCCACTTGCAGACATAACAAGCAGAGTGTTTCTAAACTGCTCTAAGAAAAGAAAGGTTAAACTCTGTGAGTTGAAGGCACACATCACAAAGTAGTTTCTGAGAATGATTCTGTCTAGTTTTTATTTGAAGATATTTCCTTTTCTACTGTTGGCATCAAATCGCTTGAAATCTTCACTTGCAAACTCCACAAAAAGAGTGTTTCAAATCTGCTCTGTGTAAAGGGACGTTCCACTCTGTGAGTTGAATACACACAGCACAAAGAAGTTGCTGAGAATTCTTCTGTCTAGCATGAAATGAAGAAATCCCGTTTCCAACGAAGGCCTCAATGCGGTCCATATATCCACTTGCAGACTTTACAAACAGAGTGTTTCCAAACTGCTCTATGAAAAGAAAGGTTAAACTATGTGAGTTGAACGCACACATCACAAAGAATTTTCTGAGAATGATTCTGTCTGGTTTTTATTTGAAGATATTTCCCTTTCTACTGTTGGCATCAAATGGCTAGAAATCTCCACTTGCAAATTCCGCAAAAAGAGTGTTTCAAATCTGCTCTGTCTAAAGGGACGTTCCACTCTGTGAGTTGAATGCACACAACACAAAGAATTTACTGAGAATTCTTCCGTCTAGCATGCAATGAAGAAATCCCGTTTCCAACGAAGGCCTCAAACAGGTCCATATATCCAATTGCAGACTTTACAAACAGTGTGTTTCCAAACTCCTCTATGAAAAGAAAGGTTAAACTCTGTGAGTTGAACGCACACATCACAAAGCACTTTCTGAGAATGATTCTGTCTGGTTATTATACGAAGATATTTCCTTTTCTGCAATTGTCCTCAAATCGCTTGAAATCTCCACCTGAAAATGCCACAGCAAGAGTGTTTCAAATCTGCTCTCTCTAAAGCAAGGTTCAACTCTGTGAGTTGAATACACACAACACAAAAAAGTTACTGAGAACTCTTCTTAGTCTAGCATGAAAGGAAGAAACCCCGTTTGCAACGAAGGCCTCAAAGAGGTCCAAATATCCACTTGCAGACATAACAAGCAGAGTGTTTCTAAACTGCTCTAAGAAAAGAAAGGTTAAACTCTGTGAGTTGAAGGCACACATCACAAAGTAGTTTCTGAGAATGATTCTGTCTAGTTTTTATTTGAAGATATTTCCTTTTCTACTGTTGGCATCAAATCGCTTGAAATCTCCACTTGCAAACTCCACAAAAAGAGTGTTTCAAATCTGCTCTGTGCAAAGGGACGTTCCACTCTGTGAGTTGAATACACACAGCACAAAGAAGTTACTGAGAATTCTTCTGTCTAGCATGAAATGAAGAAATCCCGTTTCCAACGAAGGGCCTCAATGCGGTCCATATATCCACTTGCAGACTTTACAAACAGAGTGTTTCCAAACTGCTCTATGAAAAGAAAGGTTAAACTATGTGAGTTGAACGCACACATCACAAAGAATTTTCTGAGAATGATTCTGTCTGGTTTTTATTTGAAGATATTTCCCTTTCTACTGTTGGCATCAAATGGCTAGAAATCTCCACTTGCAAATTCCGCAAAAAGAGTGTTTCAAATCTGCTCTGTCTAAAGGGACGTTCCACTCTGTGAGTTGAATGCACACAACACAAAGAATTTACTGAGAATTCTTCCGTCTAGCATTCAATGAAGAAATCCCGTTTCCAAAGAAGGCCTCAAACAGGTCCATATATCCAATTGCAGACTTTACAAACAGTGTGTTTCCAAACTCCTCTATGAAAAGAAAGGTTAAACTCTGTGAGTTGAACGCACACATCACAAAGCACTTTCTGAGAATGATTCTGTCTGGTTGTTATACGAAGATATTTCCTTTTCTGCAATTGTCCTCAAATCGCTTGAAATCTCCACCTGAAAATGCCACAGCAAGAGTGTTTCAAATCTGCTCTCTCTAAAGCAAGGTTCAACTCTGTGAGTTGAATACACACAACACAAAAAAGTTACTGAGAACTCTTCTTAGTCTAGCATTAAATGAAGAAATCCCGTTTGCAACGAAGGCCTCAAAGAGGTCCAAATATCCACTTGCAGACATTGCAAGCAGAGTGTTTCTAAACTGCTCTAAGAAAAGAAATGTTAAACTCTGTGAGTTGATGGCACACATCACAAAGTAGTTTCTGAGAATAATTCTGTCTAGTTTTTATTTAAAGATATTTCCTTTTCTACTGTTGGCATCAAATCGCTTGAAATTTCCACTTGCAAATTCTACAAAAAGAGTGTTTCAAATCTGCTCTGTCTAAAGGGACGTTCCATTCTGTGAGTTGAATACACACAACACAAAGAAATTATTGAGAATTCTTCTGTCTAGCATGAAATGAAGAAATCCCGTTTCCAACGAAGGCCTCAAAGCAGTCCATATATCCACTTGCAGACTTTACAAACAGAGTGTTTCCAAACTGCTCTATGAAAAGAAAGGCTAAACTCTGTGAGTTGAACGCACACATCACAAAAATTTTCTGAGAATGATTCTGTCTGGTTTTTATTTGAAGATATTTCCCTTTCTACTGTTGGCATCAAATGGCTAGAAATCTCCACTTGCAAATTCCGCAAAAAGAGTGTTTCAAATCTGCTCTGTCTAAAGGGACGTTCCACTCTGTGAGTTGAATGCACACAACACAAAGAATTTACTGAGAATTCTTCCGTCTAGCATTCAATGAAGAAATCCCGTTTCCAACGAAGGCCTCAAACAGGTCCATATATCCACTTGCAGACTTTACAAACAGTGTGTTTCCAAACTCCTCTATGAAAAGAAAGGTTAAACTCTGTGAGTGGAACGCACACATCACAAAGCACTTTCTGAGAATGATTCTGTCTGGTTGTTATACGAAGATATTTCCTTTTCTGCAATTGTCCTCAAATCGCTTGAAATCTCCACCTGAAAATGCCACAGCAAGAGTGTTTCAAATCTGCTCTCTCTAAAGCAAGGTTCAACTCTGTGAGTTGAATACACACAACACAAAAAAGTTACTGAGAACTCTTCTTAGTCTAGCATTAAAGGAAGAAACCCCGTTTGCAACGAAGGCCTCAAAGAGGTCCAAATATCCACTTGCAGACATAACAAGCAGAGTGTTTCTAAACTGCTCTAAGAAAAGAAAGGTTAAACTCTGTGAGTTGAAGGCACACATCACAAAGTAGTTTCTGAGAATGATTCTGTCTAGTTTTTATTTGAAGATATTTCCTTTTCTACTGTTGGCATCAAATCGCTTGAAATCTCCACTTGCAAATTCCACAAAAAGAGTGTTTCAAATCTGCTCTGTGCAAAGGGACGTTCCACTCTCTGAGTTGAATACACACAGCACAAAGAAGTTGCTGAGAGTTCTTCTGTCTAGCATGAAATGAAGAAATCCCGTTTCCAACGAAGGCCTCAATGCGGTCCATATATCCACTTGCAGACTTTACAAACAGAGTGTTTCCAAACTGCTCTATGAAAAGAAAGGTTAAACTATGTGAGTTGAACGCACACATCACAAAGAATTTTCTGAGAATGATTCTGTCTGGTTTTTATTTGAAGATATTTCCCTTTCTACTGTTGGCATCAAATGGCTAGAAATCTCCACTTGCAAATTCCGCAAAAAGAGTGTTTCAAATCTGCTCTGTCTAAAGGGACGTTCCACTCTGTGAGTTGAATGCACACAACACAAAGAATTTACTGAGAATTCTTCCGTCTAGCATGCAATGAAGAAATCCCGTTTCCAACGAAGGCCTCAAACAGGTCCATATATCCAATTGCAGACTTTACAAACAGTGTGTTTCCAAACTCCTCTATGAAAAGAAAGGTTAAACTCTGTGAGTTGAACGCACACATCACAAAGCACTTTCTGAGAATGATTCTGTCTGGTTATTATACGAAGATATTTCCTTTTCTGCAATTGTCCTCAAAACGCTTGAAATCTCCACCTGAAAATGCCACAGCAAGAGTGTTTCAAATCTGCTCTCTCTAAAGCAAGGTTCAACTCTGTGAGTTGAATACACACAACACAAAAAAGTTACTGAGAACTCTTCTTAGTCTAGCATGAAAGGAAGAAACCCCGTTTGCAACGAAGGCCTCAAAGAGGTCCAAATATCCACTTGCAGACATAACAAGCAGAGTGTTTCTAAACTGCTCTAAGAAAAGAAAGGTTAAACTCTGTGAGTTGAAGGCACACATCACAAAGTAGTTTCTGAGAATGATTCTGTCTAGTTTTTATTTGAAGATATTTCCTTTTCTACTGTTGGCATCAAATCGCTTGAAATCTCCACTTGCAAATTCCACAAAAAGAGTGTTTCAAATCTGCTCTGTGTAAAGGAACTTTCCACTCTGTGAGTTGAATACACACAGCACAAAGAAGTTACTGAGAATTCTTCTGTCTAGCATGAAATGAAGAAATCCCGTTTCCAACGAAGGCCTCAATGCGGTCCATATATCCACTTGCAGACTTTACAAACAGAGTGTTTCCAAACTGCTCTATGAAAAGAAAGGTTAAACTATGTGAGTTGAACGCACACATCACAAAGAATTTTCTGAGAATGATTCTGTCTGGTTTTTATTTGAAGATATTTCCCTTTCTACTGTTGGCATCAAATGGCTAGAAATCTCCACTTGCAAATTCCGCAAAAAGAGTGTTTCAAATCTGCTCTGTCTAAAGGGACGTTCCACTCTGTCAGTTGAATGCACACCACACAAAGAATTTACTGAGAATTCTTCCGTCTAGCATTCAATGAAGAAATCCCGTTTCCAACGAAGGCCTCAAACAGGTCCATATATCCACTTGCAGACTTTACAAACAGTGTGTTTCCAAACTCCTCTATGGAAAGAAAAGTTAAACTCTGTGAGTTGAACGCACACATCACAAAGCACTTTCTGAGAATGATTCTGTCTGGTTATTATACGAAGATATTTCCTTTTCTGCAATTGTCCTCAAATCGCTTGAAATCTCCACCTGAAAATGCCACAGCAAGAGTGTTTCAAATCTGCTCTCTCTAAAGCAAGGTTCAACTCTGTGAGTTGAATACACACAACACAAAAAAGTTACTGAGAACTCTTCTTAGTCTAGCATTAAAGGAAGAAACCCCGTTTGCAACGAAGGCCTCAAAGAGGTCCAAATATCCACTTGCAGACATAACAAGCAGAGTGTTTCTAAACTGCTCTAAGAAAAGAAAGGTTAAACTCTGTGAGTTGAAGGCACACATCACAAAGTAGTTTCTGAGAATGATTCTGTCTAGTTTTTATTTGAAGATATTTCCTTTTCTACTGTTGGCATCAAATCGCTTGAAATCTCCACTTGCAAATTCCACAAAAAGAGTGTTTCAAATCTGCTCTGTGCAAAGGGACGTTCCACTCTGTGAGTTGAATACACACAGCACAAAGAAGTTACTGAGAATTCTTCTGTCTAGCATGAAATGAAGAAATCCCGTTTCCAACGAAGGCCTCAATGCGGTCCATATATCCACTTGCAGACTTTACAAACAGAGTGTTTCCAAACTGCTCTATGAAAAGAAAGGTTAAATTATGTGAGTTGAACGCACACATCACAAAGAATTTTCTGAGAATGATTCTGTCTGGTTTTTATTTGAAGATATTTCCCTTTCTACTGTTGGCATCAAATGGCTAGAAATCTCCACTTGCAAATTCCGCAAAAAGAGTGTTTCAAATCTGCTCTGTCTAAAGGGACGTTCCACTCTGTGAGTTGAATGCACACAACACAAAGAATTTACTGAGAATTCTTCCGTCTAGCATTCAATGAAGAAATCCCGTTTCCAACGAAGGCCTCAAACAGGTCCATATATCCCCTTGCAGACTTTACAAACAGTGTGTTTCCAAACTCCTCTATGAAAAGAAAGGTTAAACTCTGTGAGTTGAACGCACACATCACAAAGCACTTTCTGAGAATGATTCTGTCTGGTTTTTACACTAAGATATTTCCTTTTCTGCAATTGCCCTCAAATCGCTTGAAATCTCCACCTGAAAATTCCACAGCAAGAGAGTCTGAAATCTGCTGTCTGTAAAGCAAGGTTCAACTCTGTGAGCTGAATACACACAACACAAACAAGTTACTAAGAACTCTTCTGTCTAGCATAAATGAAGAAATACCGTTTGCAACGAAGGCCTCAAAGAGGTCCAAATATCCACTTGCAGACATTTCAAGCAGAATGTTTCTAAACTGCTCTGAGAAAAGAAAGGTTAAGCTCTGTGAGTTGAAGGCACACATCACAAAGTAGTTTCTGAGAATGATTCTGTCTAGTTTTTATTTGAAGATATTTCCTTTTCTACTGTTGGCATCAAATTGCTTGAAAAATCCACTTGCAAATTCCACAAAAAGAGTGTTTCAAATCTGCTCTGTCTAAAGGGACGTTTCACTCTGTGAGTTGAATACACACAACAGAAAGAAGTTAATGAGAATTCTTCTGTCTAGCATTAAATGAAGAAATCCCTTTTCCAAAGAAGGCCTCAAAGCGGTCCATATATCCACTTGCAGAATTTACAAACAGAGTGTTTCCAAACTGCTTTATGAAAAGAAAGGTTAAAGGATGTGAGTTGAATGCACACATCACAAAGAATTTTCTGAGAATGATTCTGTCTAGTTTTTATTTGAAGATATTTCCTTTTCTACTATTGGCATCAAATCGCTTGAAATCTCCACTTGCAAATTCCACAAAAAGAGTGTTTCAAATCTGCTCAGTCTAAAGGGACGTTCCACTCTGTGAGTTCAATGCACACAACACAAAGAATTTACTGAGAATTCTTCCGTCTAGCATTATATGACAAAATCCCGTTTCCAACGAAGGCCTCAAAAAGGTCCAAGTATCCACTTGCAGACTTTACAAACAGAGTATTTCCAAACTGCTCTATAAAAAGAAAGGTTAAACTCCGTGAGTTGAACACACACATCACAAAGCACTTTCTGAGTATGATTCTGTCTGGTTTTTATACGAAGATATTTCCTTTTCCGCAATTGTCCTCAAATCGCTTGAAATCTCCACCTCAAAATTCCACAGCAAGAGTGTTTCAAATCTGCTCTGTCAAAACGAAGGTTCAACTCTGTGAGTTGAATCCACATAACAAAAAGAAGTTACTGAGAATTCTTCTGTCTAGAACTGAATGAAGAAATCCCGTTTCCAACGAATACCTGTAAGAAGTGCAAATATCCACTTGCAGGATTTACAAAGAGTGTGTTTCCAAACTGCTCTATGAGTAGAAAGGTTAAACTCTGTGAGTTGAACGCACACATCACAAAGCACTTTCTGAGTATGATTCTCTCTAGTTTTTATTTGAAGATATTTCCTTTTCTACTGTTGGCATCAAATCGCTTGAAATCTCCACTTGCAAACTCCACAAAAAGAGTGTTTCAAATCTGCTCTG
The DNA here is from genome assembly GCF_000001405.40 of Homo sapiens. Taxonomy (NCBI): domain Eukaryota; kingdom Metazoa; phylum Chordata; class Mammalia; order Primates; family Hominidae; genus Homo; species Homo sapiens. Next base: position 60,696,789 of record NC_000007.14, on the reverse strand, counting down.
TGTAAAGGGACGTTCCACTCTGTGAGTTGAATACACACAGCACAAAGAAGTTACTGAGAATTCTTCTGTCTAGCATGAAATGAAGAAATCCCGTTTCCAACGAAGGCCTCAATGCGGTCCATATGTCCACTTGCAGACATTACAAACAGAGTGTTTCCAAACTGCTCTATGAAAAGAAAGGTTAAACTATGTGAGTTGAACGCACACATCACAAAGAATTTTCTGAGAATGATTCTGTCTGGTTTTTATTTGAAGATATTTCCCTTTCTACTGTTGGCATCAAATGGCTAGAAATCTCCACTTGCAAATTCCGCAAAAAGAGTGTTTCAAATCTGCTCTGTCTAAAGGGACGTTCCACTCTGTGAGTTGAATGCACACAACACAAAGAATTTACTGAGAATTCTTCCGTCTAGCATGCAATGAAGAAATCCCGTTTCCAACGAAGGCCTCAAACAGGTCCATATATCCAATTGCAGACTTTACAAACAGTGTGTTTCCAAACTCCTCTATGAAAAGAAAGGTTAAACTCTGTGAGTTGAACGCACACATCACAAAGCACTTTCTGAGAATGATTCTTGTCTGGTTATTATACGAAGATATTTCCTTTTCTGCAATTGTCCTCAAATCGCTTGAAATCTCCACCTGAAAATGCCACAGCAAGAGTGTTTCAAATCTGCTCTCTCTAAAGCAAGGTTCAACTCTGTGAGTTGAATACACACAACACAAAAAAGTTACTGAGAACTCTTCTTAGTCTAGCATGAAAGGAAGAAACCCCGTTTGCAACGAAGGCCTCAAAGAGGTCCAAATATCCACTTGCAGACATAACAAGCAGAGTGTTTCTAAACTGCTCTAAGAAAAGAAAGGTTAAACTCTGTGAGTTGAAGGCACACATCACAAAGTAGTTTCTGAGAATGATTCTGTCTAGTTTTTATTTGAAGATATTTCCTTTTCTACTGTTGGCATCAAATCGCTTGAAATCTCCACTTGCAAATTCCACAAAAAGAGTGTTTCAAATCTGCTCTGTGTAAAGGGACGTTCCACTCTGTGAGTTGAATACACACAGCACAAAGAAGTTACTGAGAATTCTTCTGTCTAGCATGAAATGAAGAAATCCCGTTTCCAACGAAGGCCTCAATGCGGTCCATATATCCACTTTCAGACTTTACAAACAGAGTGTTTCCAAACTGCTCTATGAAAAGAAAGGTTAAACTATGTGAGTTGAACGCACACATCACAAAGAATTTTCTGAGAATGATTCTGTCTGGTTTTTATTTGAAGATATTTCCCTTTCTACTGTTGGCATCAAATGGCTAGAAATCTCCACTTGCAAATTCCGCAAAAAGAGTGTTTCAAATCTGCTCTGTCTAAAGGGACGTTCCACTCTGTGAGTTGAATGCACACAACACAAAGAATTTACTGAGAATTCTTCCGTCTAGCATTCAATGAAGAAATCCCGTTTCCAACGAAGGCCTCAAAGAGGTCCATATATCCACTTGCAGACTTTACAAACAGTGTGTTTCCAAACTCCTCTATGAAAAGAAAGGTTAAACTCTGTGAGTGGAACGCACACATCACAAAGTACTTTCTGAGAATGATTCTGTCTGGTTATTATACGAAGATATTTCCTTTTCTGCAATTGTCCTCAAATCGCTTGAAATCTCCACCTGAAAATGCCACAGCAAGAGTGTTTCAAATCTGCTCTCTCTAAAGCAAGGTTCAACTCTGTGAGTTGAATACACACAACACAAAAAAGTTACTGAGAACTCTTCTTAGTCTAGCATGAAAGGAAGAAACCCCGTTTGCAACGAAGGCCTCAAAGAGGTCCAAATATCCACTTGCAGACATAACAAGCAGAGTGTTTCTAAACTGCTCTATGAAAAGAAAGGTTAAACTCTGTGAGTTGAAGGCACACATCACAAAGTAGTTTCTGAGAATGATTCTGTCTAGTTTTTATTTGAAGATATTTCCTTTTCTACTGTTGGCATCAAATCGCTTGAAATCTCCACTTGCAAACTCCACAAAAAGAGTGTTTCAAATCTGCTCTGTGTAAAGGGACGTTCCACTCTGTGAGTTGAATACACACAGCACAAAGAAGTTACTGAGAATTCTTCTGTCTAGCATGAAATGAAGAAATCCCGTTTCCAACGAAGGCCTCAATGCGGTCCATATATCCACTTGCAGACTTTACAAACAGAGTGTTTCCAAACTGCTCTATGAAAAGAAAGGTTAAACTATGTGAGTTGAACGCACACATCACAAAGAATTTTCTGAGAATGATTCTGTCTGGTTTTTATTTGAAGATATTTCCCTTTCTACTGTTGGCATCAAATGGCTAGAAATCTCCACTTGCAAATTCCGCAAAAAGAGTGTTTCAAATCTGCTCTGTCTAAAGGGACGTTCCACTCTGTGAGTTGAATGCACACAACACAAAGAATTTACTGAGAATTCTTCCGTCTAGCATTCAATGAAGAAATCCCGTTTCCAACGAAGGCCTCAAACAGGTCCATATATCCACTTGCAGACTTTACAAACAGTGTGTTTCCAAACTCCTCTATGAAAAGAAAGGTTAAACTCTGTGAGTGGAACGCACACATCACAAAGCACTTTCTGAGAATGATTCTGTCTGGTTATTATACGAAGATATTTCCTTTTCTGCAATTGTCCTCAAAACGCTTGAAATCTCCACCTGAAAATGCCACAGCAAGAGTGTTTCAAATCTGCTCTCTCTAAAGCAAGGTTCAACTCTGTGAGTTGAATACACACAACACAAAAAAGTTACTGAGAACTCTTCTTAGTCTAGCATTAAAGGAAGAAACCCCGTTTGCAACGAAGGCCTCAAAGAGGTCCAAATATCCACTTGCAGACATAACAAGCAGAGTGTTTCTAAACTGCTCTAAGAAAAGAAAGGTTAAACTCTGTGAGTTGAAGGCACACATCACAAAGTAGTTTCTGAGAATGATTCTGTCTAGTTTTTATTTGAAGATATTTCCTTTTCTACTGTTGGCATCAAATCGCTTGAAATCTCCACTTGCAAATTCCACAAAAAGAGTGTTTCAAATCTGCTCTGTGCAAAGGGACGTTCCACTCTGTGAGTTGAATACACACAGCACAAAGAAGTTACTGAGAATTCTTCTGTCTAGCATGAAATGAAGAAATCCCGTTTCCAACGAAGGCCTCAATGCGGTCCATATATCCACTTGCAGACTTTACAAACAGAGTGTTTCCAAACTGCTCTATGAAAAGAAAGGTAAAACTATGTGAGTTGAACGCACACATCACAAAGAATTTTCTGAGAATGATTCTGTCTGGTTTTTATTTGAAGATATTTCCCTTTCTACTGTTGGAATCAAATGGCTAGAAATCTCCACTTGCAAATTCCGCAAAAAGAGTGTTTCAAATCTGCTCTGTCTAAAGGGACGTTCCACTCTGTCAGTTGAATGCACACAACACAAAGAATTTACTGAGAATTCTTCCGTCTAGCATTCAATGAAGAAATTCCGTTTCCAACGGAGGCCTCAAACAGGTCCATATATCCAATTGCAGACATTACAAACAGTGTGTTTCCAAGCTCCTCTATGAAAAGAAAGGTTAAACTCTGTGAGTTGAACGCACACATCACAACGCACTTTCTGAGAATGATTCTGTCTGGTTGTTATACGAAGATATTTCCTTTTCTGCAATTGTCCTCAAATCGCTTGAAATCTCCACCTGAAAATGCCACAGCAAGAGTGTTTCAAATCTGCTCTCTCTAAAGCAAGGTTCAGCTCTGTGAGTTGAATACACACAACACAAAAAAGTTACTGAGAACTCTTCTTAGTCTAGCATGAAAGGAAGAAACCCCGTTTGCAACGAAGGCCTCAAAGAGGTCCAAATATCCACTTGCAGACATAACAAGCAGAGTGTTTCTAAACTGCTCTAAGAAAAGAAAGGTTAAACTCTGTGAGTTGAAGGCACACATCACAAAGTAGTTTCTGAGAATGATTTCTGTCTAGTTTTTATTTGAAGATATTTCCTTTTCTACTGTTGGCATCAAATCGCTTGAAATCTCCACTTGCAAATTCAACAAAAAGAGTGTTTCAAATCTGCTCTGTGTAAAGGGACGTTCCACTCTGTGAGTTGAATACACACAGCACAAAGAAGTTACTGAGAATTCTTCTGTCTAGCATGAAATGAAGAAATCCCGTTTCCAACGAAGGCCTCAATGCGGTCCATATATCCACTTGCAGACTTTACAAACAGAGTGTTTCCAAACTGCTCTATGAAAAGAAAGGTTAAACTATGTGAGTTGAACGCACACATCACAAAGAATTTTCTGAGAATGATTCTGTCTGGTTTTTATTTGAAGATATTTCCCTTTCTACTGTTGGCATCAAATGGCTAGAAATCTCCACTTGCAAATTCCGCAAAAAGAGTGTTTCAAATCTGCTCTGTCTAAAGGGACGTTCCACTCTGTGAGTTGAATGCACACCACACAAAGAATTTACTGAGAATTCTTCCGTCTAGCATTCAATGAAGAAATCCCGTTTCCAACGAAGGCCTCAAACAGGTCCATATATCCACTTGCAGACTTTACAAACAGTGTGTTTCCAAACTCCTCTATGAAAAGAAAGGTTAAACTCTGTGAGTGGAACGCACACATCACAAAGCACTTTCTGAGAATGATTCTGTCTGGTTGTTATACGAAGATATTTCCTTTTCTGCAATTGTCCTCAAATCGCTTGAAATCTCCACCTGAAAATGCCACAGCAAGAGTGTTTCAAATCTGCTCTCTCTAAAGCAAGGTTCAGCTCTGTGAGTTGAATACACACAACACAAAAAAGTTACTGAGAACTCTTCTTAGTCTAGCATGAAAGGAAGAAACCCCGTTTGCAACGAAGGCCTCAAAGAGGTCCAAATATCCACTTGCAGACATAACAAGCAGAGTGTTTCTAAACTGCTCTAAGAAAAGAAAGGTTAAACTCTGTGAGTTGAAGGCACACATCACAAAGTAGTATCTGAGAATGATTCTGTCTAGTTTTTATTTGAAGATATTTCCTTTTCTACTGTTGGCATCAAATCGCTTGAAATCTCCACTTGCAAATTCCACAAAAAGAGTGTTTCAAATCTGCTCTGTGCAAAGGGACGTTCCACTCTGTGAGTTGAATACACACAGCACAAAGAAGTTACTGAGAATTCTTCTGTCTAGCATGAAATGAAGAAATCCCGTTTCCAACGAAGGCCTCAATGCGGTCCATATATCCACTTACAGACTTTACAAACAGAGTGTTTCCAAACTGCTCTATGAAAAGAAAGGTTAAACTATGTGAGTTGAACGCACACATCACAAAAAATTTTCTGAGAATGATTCTGTCTGGTTTTTATTTGAAGATATTTCCCTTTCTACTGTTGGCATCAAATGGCTAGAAATCTCCACTTGCAAATTCCGCAAAAAGAGTGTTTCAAATCTGCTCTGTCTAAAGGGACGTTCCACTCTGTGAGTTGAATGCACACAACACAAAGAATTTACTGAGAATTCTTCCGTCTAGCATTCAATGAAGAAATCCCGTTTCCAACGAAGGCCTCAAACAGGTCCATTTATCCACTTGCAGAGTTTACAAACAGTTTGTTTCCAAACTCCTCTATGAAAAGAAAGGTTAAACTCTGTGAGTGGAACGCACACATCACAAAGCACTTTCTGAGAATGATTCTGTCTGGTTATTATACGAAGATATTTCCTTTTCTGCAATTGTCCTCAAATCGCTTGAAATCTCCACCTGAAAATGCCACAGCAAGAGTGTTTCAAATCTGCTCTCTCTAAAGCAAGGTTCAACTCTGTGAGTTGAATACACACAACACAAAAAGTTACTGAGAACTCTTCTTAGTCTAGCATGAAAGGAAGAAACCCCGTTTGCAACGAAGGCCTCAAAGAGGTCCAAATATCCACTTGCAGACATAACAAGCAGAGTGTTTCTAAACTGCTCTAAGAAAAGAAAGGTTAAACTATGTGAGTTGAACGCACACATCACAAAGAATTTTCTGAGAATGATTCTGTCTAGTTTTTATTTGAAGATATTTCCTTTTCTACTGTTGGCATCAAATCGCTTGAAATCTCCACTTGCAAACTCCACAAAAAGAGTGTTTCAAATCTGCTCTGTGCAAAGGGACGTTCCACTCTGTGAGTTGAATACACACAGCACAAAGAAGTTACTGAGAATTCTTCTGTCTAGCATGAAATGAAGAAATCCCGTTTCCAACGAAGGCCTCAATGCGGTCCATATATCCACTTGCAGACTTTACAAACAGAGTGTTTCCAAACTGCTCTATGAAAAGAAAGGTTAAACTATGTGAGTTGAACGCACACATCACAAAGAATTTTCTGAGAATGATTCTGTCTGGTTTTTATTTGAAGATATTTCCCTTTCTACTGTTGGCATCAAATGGCTAGAAATCTCCACTTGCAAATTCCGCAAAAAGAGTGTTTCAAATCTGCTCTGTCTAAAGGGACGTTCCACTCTGTGAGTTGAATGCACACAACACAAAGAATTTACTGAGAATTCTTCCGTCTAGCATTCAATGAAGAAATCCCGTTTCCAACGAAGGCCTCAAACAGGTCCATATATCCACTTGCAGACTTTACAAACAGTGTGTTTCCAAACTCCTCTATGAAAAGAAAGGTTAAACTCTGTGAGTTCAACGCACACATCACAAAGCACTTTCTGAGAATGATTCTGTCTGGTTATTATACGAAGATATTTCCTTTTCTGCAATTGTCCTCAAATCGCTTGAAATCTCCACCTGAAAATGCCACAGCAAGAGTGTTTCAAATCTGCTCTCTCTAAAGCAAGGTTCAACTCTGTGAGTTGAATACACACAACACAAAAAAGTTACTGAGAACTCTTCTTAGTCTAGCATTAAACGAAGAAACCCCGTTTGCAACGAAGGCCTCAAAGAGGTCCCAATATCCACTTGCAGACATAACAAGCAGAGTGTTTCTAAACTGCTCTAAGAAAAGAAAGGTTAAACTCTGTGAGTTGAAGGCACACATCACAAAGTAGTTTCTGAGAATGATTCTGTCTAGTTTTTATTTGAAGATATTTCCTTTTCTACTGTTGGCATCAAATCGCTTGAAATCTCCACTTGCAAAATCCACAAAAAGAGTGTTTCAAATCTGCTCTGTGCAAAGGGACGTTCCACTCTGTGAGTTGAATACACACAGCACAAAGAAGTTACTGAGAATTCTTCTGTCTAGCATGAAATGAAGAAATCCCGTTTCCAACGAAGGCCTCAATGCGGTCCATAGATCCACTTGCAGACTTTACAAACAGAGTGTTTCCAAACTGCTCTATGAAAAGAAAGGTTAAACTATGTGAGTTGAACGCACACATCACAAAGAATTTTCTGAGAATGATTCTGTCTGGTTTTTATTTGAAGATATTTCCCTTTCTACTGTTGGCATCAAATGGCTAGAAATCTCCACTTGCAAATTCCGCAAAAAGAGTGTTTCAAATCTGCTCTGTCTAAAGGGACGTTCCACTCTGTCAGTTGAATGCACACAACACAAAGAATTTACTGAGAATTCTTCCGTCTAGCATTCAATGAAGAAATCCCGTTTCCAACGAAGGCCTCAAACAGGTCCATATATCCAATTGCAGACTTTACAAACAGTGTGTTTCCAAACTCCTCTATGAAAAGAAAGGTTAAACTCTGTGAGTTGAACGCACACAACACAAAGCACTTTCTGAGAATGATTCTGTCTGGTTGTTATACGAAGATATTTCCTTTTCTGCAATTTTCCTCAAATCGCTTGAAATCTCCACCTGAAAATGCCACAGCAAGAGTGTTTCAAATCTGCTCTCTCTAAAGCAAGGTTCAACTCTGTGAGTTGAATACACACAGCACAAAGAAGTTACTGAGAATTCTTCTTAGTCTAGCATGAAAGGAAGAAACCCCGTTTGCAACGAAGGCCTCAAAGAGGTCCAAATATCCACTTGCAGACATAACAAGCAGAGTGTTTCTAAACTGCTCTAAGAAAAGAAAGGTTAAACTCTGTGAGTTGAAGGCACACATCACAAAGTAGTTTCTGAGAATGATTCTGTCTAGTTTTTATTTGAAGATATTTCCTTTTCTACTGTTGGCATCAAATCGCTTGAAATCTCCACTTGCAAACTCCACAAAAAGAGTGTTTCAAATCTGCTCTGTGCAAAGGGACGTTCCACTCTGTGAGTTGAATACACACAGCACAAAGAAGTTACTGAGAATTCTTCTGTCTAGCATGAAATGAAGAAATCCCGTTTCCAACGAAGGCCTCAATGCGGTCCATATATCCACTTGCAGACTTTACAAACAGAGTGTTTCCAAACTGCTCTATGAAAAGAAAGGTTAAACTATGTGAGTTGAACGCACACATCACAAAGAATTTTCTGAGAATGATTCTGTCTGGTTTTTATTTGAAGATATTTCCCTTTCTACTGTTGGCATCAAATGGCTAGAAATCTCCACTTGCAAATTCCGCAAAAAGAGTGTTTCAAATCTGCTCTGTCTAAAGGGACGTTCCACTCTGTGAGTTGAATGCACACAACACAAAGAATTTACTGAGAATTCTTCCGTCTAGCATTCAATGAAGAAATCCCGTTTCCAACGAAGGCCTCAAACAGGTCCATGTATCCACCTGCAGACTTTACAAACAGTGTGTTTCCAAACTCCTCTATGAAAAGAAAGGTTAAACTCTGTGAGTTGAACGCACACATCACAAAGCACTTTCTGAGAATGATTCTGTCTGGTTATTATACGAAGATATTTCCTTTTCTGCAATTGTCCTCAAATCGCTTGAAATCTCCACCTGAAAATGCCACAGCAAGAGTGTTTCAAATCTGCTCTCTCTAAAGCAAGGTTCAACTCTGTGAGTTGAATACACACAACACAAAAAGTTACTGAGAACTCTTCTTAGTCTAGCATGAAAGGAAGAAACCCCGTTTGCAACGAAGGCCTCAAAGAGGTCCAAATATCCACTTGCAGACATAACAAGCAGAGTGTTTCTAAACTGCTCTAAGAAAAGAAAGGTTAAACTCTGTGAGTTGAAGGCACACATCACAAAGTAGTTTCTGAGAATGATTCTGTCTAGTTTTTATTTGAAGATATTTCCTTTTCTACTGTTGGCATCAAATCGCTTGAAATCTCCACTTGCAAATTCCACAAAAAGAGTGTTTCAAATCTGCTCTGTGCAAAGGGACGTTCCACTCTGTGAGTTGAATACACACAGCACAAAGAAGTTACTGAGAATTCTTCTGTCTAGCATGAAATGAAGAAATCCCGTTTCCAACGAAGGCCTCAATGCGGTCCATATATCCACTTGCAGACTTTACAAACAGAGTGTTTCCAAACTGCTCTATGAAAAGAAAGGTTAAACTATGTGAGTTGAACGCACACATCACAAAGAATTTTCTGAGAATGATTCTGTCTGGTTTTTATTTGAAGATATTTCCCTTTCTACTGTTGGCATCAAATGGCTAGAAATCTCCACTTGCAAATTCCGCAAAAAGAGTGTTTCAAATCTGCTCTGTCTAAAGGGACGTTCCACTCTGTGAGTTGAATGCACACCACACAAAGAATTTACTGAGAATTCTTCCGTCTAGCATTCAATGAAGAAATCCCGTTTCCAACGAAGGCCTCAAACAGGTCCATATATCCAATTGCAGACTTTACAAACAGTGTGTTTCCAAACTCCTCTATGAAAAGAAAGGTTAAACTCTGTGAGTTGAACGCACACAACACAAAGCACTTTCTGAGAATGATTCTGTCTGGTTATTATACGAAGATATTTCCTTTTCTGCAATTGTCCTCAAATCGCTTGAAATCTCCACCTGAAAATGCCACAGCAAGAGTGTTTCAAATCTGCTCTCTCTAAAGCAAGGTTCAACTCTGTGAGTTGAATACACACAACACAAAAAAGTTACTGAGAACTCTTCTTAGTCTAGCATGAAAGGAAGAAACCCCGTTTGCAACGAAGGCCTCAAAGAGGTCCAAATATCCACTTGCAGACATAACAAGCAGAGTGTTTCTAAACTGCTCTAAGAAAAGAAAGGTTAAACTCTGTGAGTTGAAGGCACACATCACAAAGTAGTTTCCGAGAATGATTCTGTCTAGTTTTTATTTGAAGATATTTCCTTTTCTACTGTTGGCATCAAATCGCTTGAAATCTCCACTTGCAAACTCCACAAATAGAGTGTTTCAAATCTGCTCTGTGTAAAGGGACGTTCCACTCTGTGAGTTGAATACACACAGCACAAAGAAGTTACTGAGAATTCTTCTGTCTAGCATGAAATGAAGAAATCCCGTTTCCAACGAAGGCCTCAATGCGGTCCATATATCCACTTGCAGACTTTACAAACAGAGTGTTTCCAAACTGCTCTATGAAAAGAAAGGTTAAACTATGTGAGTTGAACGCACACATCACAAAGAATTTTCTGAGAATGATTCTGTCTGGTTTTTATTTGAAGATATTTCCCTTTCTACTGTTGGCATCAAATGGCTAGAAATCTCCACTTGCAAATTCCGCAAAAAGAGTGTTTCAAATCTGCTCTGTCTAAAGGGACGTTCCACTCTGTGAGTTGAATGCACACAACACAAAGAATTTACTGAGAATTCTTCCGTCTAGCATGCAATGAAGAAATCCCGTTTCCAACGAAGGCCTCAAACAGGTCCATATATCCAATTGCAGACTTTACAAACAGTGTGTTTCCAAACTCCTCTATGAAAAGAAAGGTTAAACTCTGTGAGTTGAACGCACACATCACAAAGCACTTTCTGAGAATGATTCTGTCTGGTTATTATACGAAGATATTTCCTTTTCTGCAATTGTCCTCAAATCGCTTGAAATCTCCACCTGAAAATGCCACAGCAAGAGTGTTTCAAATCTGCTCTCTCTAAAGCAAGGTTCAACTCTGTGAGTTGAATACACACAACACAAAAAAGTTACTGAGAACTCTTCTTAGTCTAGCAGTAAAGGAAGAAACGCCGTTTGCAACGAAGGCCTCAAAGAGGTCCAAATATCCACTTGCAGACATAACAAGCAGAGTGTTTCTAAACTGCTCTAAGAAAAGAAAGGTTAAACTCTGTGAGTTGAAGGCACACATCACAAAGTAGTTTCTGAGAATGATTCTGTCTAGTTTTTGTTTGCAGATATTTCCTTTTCTACTGTTGGCATCAAATCGCTTGAAATCTCCACTTGCAAACTCCACAAAAAGAGTGTTTCAAATCTGCTCTGTGTAAAGGGACGTTCCACTCTGTGAGTTGAATACACACAGCACAAAGAAGTTACTGAGAATTCTTCTGTCTAGCATGAAATGAAGAAATCCCGTTTCCAACGAAGGCCTCAATGCGGTCCATATATCCACTTGCAGACTTTACAAACAGAGTGTTTCCAAACTGCTCTATGAAAAGAAAGGTTAAACTATGTGAGTTGAACGCACACATCACAAAGAATTTTCTGAGAATGATTCTGTCTGGTTTTTATTTGAAGATATTTCCCTTTCTACTGTTGGCATCAAATGGCTAGAAATCTCCACTTGCAAATTCCGCAAAAAGAGTGTTTCAAATCTGCTCTGTCTAAAGGGACGTTCCACTCTGTGAGTTGAATGCACACAACACAAAGAATTTACTGAGAATTCTTCCGTCTAGCATTCAATGAAGAAATCCCGTTTCCAACGAAGGCCTCAAACAGGTCCATATATCCAATTGCAGACTTTACAAACAGTGTGTTTCCAATCTCCGCTATGAAAAGAAAGGTTAAACTCTGTGAGTTGAACGCACACATCACAAAGCACTTTCTGAGAATGATTCTGTCTGGTTATTATACGAAGATATTTCCTTTTCTGCAATTGTCCTCAAATCGCTTGAAATCTCCACCTGAAAATGCCACAGCAAGAGTGTTTCAAATCTGCTCTCTCTAAAGCAAGGTTCAACTCTGTGAGTTGAATACACACAACACAAAAAAGTTACTGAGAACTCTTCTTAGTCTAGCATGAAAGGAAGAAACCCCGTTTGCAACGAAGGCCTCAAAGAGGTCCAAATATCCACTTGCAGACATAACAAGCAGAGTGTTTCTAAACTGCTCTAAGAAAAGAAAGGTTAAACTCTGTGAGTTGAAGGCACACATCACAAAGTAGTTTCTGAGAATGATTCTGTCTAGTTTTTATTTGAAGATATTTCCTTTTCTACTGTTGGCATCAAATCGCTTGAAATCTCCACTTGCAAATTCCACAAAAAGAGTGTTTCAAATCTGCTCTGTGCAAAGGGACGTTCCACTCTGTGAGTTGAATACACACAGCACAAAGAAGTTACTGAGAATTCTTCTGTCTAGCATGAAATGAAGAAATCCCGTTTCCAACGAAGGCCTCAATGCGGTCCATATATCCACTTGCAGACTTTACAAACAGAGTGTTTCCAAACTGCTCTATGAAAAGAAAGGTTATACTATTGTGAGTTGAACGCACACATCACAAAGAATTTTCTGAGAATGATTCTGTCTGGTTTTTATTTGAAGATATTTCCCTTTCTACTGTTGGCATCAAATGGCTAGAAATCTCCACTTGCAAATTCCGCAAAAAGAGTGTTTCAAATCTGCTCTGTCTAAAGGGACGTTCCACTCTGTGAGTTGAATGCACACAACACAAAGAATTTACTGAGAATTCTTCCGTCTAGCATTCAATGAAGAAATCCCGTTTCCAACGAAGGCCTCAAAGAGGTCCATATATCCACTTGCAGACTTTACAAACAGTGTGTTTCCAAACTCCTCTATGAAAAGAAAGGTTAAACTCTGTGAGTGGAACGCACACATCACAAAGCACTTTCTGAGAATGATTCTGTCTGGTTATTATACGAAGATATTTCCTTTTCTGCAATTGTCCTCAAAACGATTGAAATCTCCACCTGAAAATGCCACAGCAAGAGTGTTTCAAATCTGCTCTCTCTAAAGCAAGGTTCAACTCTGTGAGTTGAATACACACAACACAGAAATGTTACTGAGAACTCTTCTTAGTCTAGCATGAAAGGAAGAAACCCCGTTTGCAACGAAGGCCTCAAAGAGGTCCAAATATCCACTTGCAGACATAACAAGCAGAGTGTTTCTAAACTGCTCTAAGAAAAGAAAGGTTAAACTCTGTGAGTTGAAGGCACACATCACAAAGTAGTTTCTGAGAATGATTCTGTCTAGTTTTTATTTGAAGATATTTCCTTTTCTACTGTTGGCATCAAATCGCTTGAAATCTCCACTTGCAAACTCCACAAAAAGAGTGTTTCAAATCTGCTCTGTGCAAAGGGACGTTCCACTCTGTGAGTTGAATACACACAGCACAAAGAAGTTACTGAGAATTCTTCTGTCTAGCATGAAATGAAGAAATCCCGTTTCCAACGAAGGCCTCAATGCGGTCCATATATCCACTTGCAGACTTTACAAACAGAGTGTTTCCAAACTGCTCTATGAAAAGAAAGGTTAAACTATGTGAGTTGAACGCACACATCACAAAGAATTTTCTGAGAATGATTCTGTCTGGTTTTTATTTGAAGATATTTCCCTTTCTACTGTTGGCATCAAATGGCTAGAAATCTCCACTTGCAAATTCCGCAAAAAGAGTGTTTCAAATCTGCTCTGTCTAAAGGGACGTTCCACTCTGTGAGTTGAATGCACACAACACAAAGAATTTACTGAGAATTCTTCCGTCTAGCATTCAATGAAGAAATCCCGTTTCCAACGAAGGCCTCAAACAGGTCCATATATCCAATTGCAGACTTTAGAAACAGTGTGTTTCCAAACTCCTCTATGAAAAGAAAGGTTAAACTCTGTGAGTTGAACGGCACACATCACAAAGCACTTTCTGAGAATGATTCTGTCTGGTTGTTATACGAAGATATTTCCTTTTCTGCAATTGTTCTCAAATCGCTTGAAATCTCCACCTGAAAATGCCACAGCAAGAGTGTTTCAAATCTGCTCTCTCTAAAGCAAGGTTCAGCTCTGTGAGTTGAATACACACAACACAAAAAAGTTACTGAGAACTCTTCTTAGTCTAGCATTAAAGGAAGAAACCCCGTTTGCAACGAAGGCCTCAAAGAGGTCCAAATATCAACTTGCAGACATAACAAGCAGAGTGTTTCTAAGCTGCTCTCAGAAAAGAAAGGTTAAACTCTTTGAGTTGAAGGCACACATCACAAAGTAGTTTCTGAGAATGATTCTGTCTAGTTTTTATTTGAAGATATTTCCTTTTCTACTGTTGGCATCAAATCGCTTGAAATCTCCAGTTGCAAACTCCACAAAAAGAGTGTTTCAAATCTGCTCTGTGTAAAGGGACGTTCCACTCTGTGAGTTGAATACACACAGCACAAAGAAGTTACTGAGAATTCTTCTGTCTAGCATGAAATGGAGCAATCCCGTTTCCAACGAAGGCCTCAATGCGGTCCATATATCCACTTGCAGACTTTACAAACAGAGTGTTTCCAAACTGCTCTATGAAAAGAAAGGTTAAACTATGTGATTTGAACGCACACATCACAAAGAATTTTCTGAGAATGATTTCTGTCTGGTTTTTATTTGAAGATATTTCCCTTTCTACTGTTGGCATCAAATGGCTAGAAATCTCCACTTGCAAATTCCGCAAAAAGAGTGTTTCAAATCTGCTCTGTCTAAAGGGACGTTCCACTCTGTGAGTTGAATGCACACAACACAAAGAATTTACTGAGAATTCTTCCGTCTAGCATTCAATGAAGAAATCCCGTTTCCAACGAAGGCCTCAAACAGGTCCATATATCCAATTGCAGACTTTACAAACAGTGTGTTTCCAAACTCCTCTATGAAAAGAAAGGTTAAACTCTGTGAGTGGAACGCACACATCACAAAGCACTTTCTGAGAATGATTCTGTCTGGTTATTATACGAAGATATTTCCTTTTCTGCAATTGTCCTCAAATCGCTTGAAATCTCCACCTGAAAATGCCACAGCAAGAGTGTTTCAAATCTGCTCTCTCTAAAGCAAGGTTCAACTCTGTGAGTTGAATACACACAACACAAAAAAGTTACTGAGAACTCTTCTTAGTCTAGCATGAAAGGAAGAAACCCCGTTTGCAACGAAGGCCTCAAAGAGGTCCAAATATCCACTTGCAGACATAACAAGCAGAGTGTTTCTAAACTGCTCTAAGAAAAGAAAGGTTAAACTCTGTGAGTTGAAGGCACACATCACAAAGTAGTTTCTGAGAATGATTCTGTCTAGTTTTTATTTGAAGATATTTCCTTTTCTACTGCTGGCATCAAATCGCTTGAAATCTCCACTTGCAAACTCCACAAAAAGAGTGTTTCAAATCTGCTCTGTGTAAAGGGACGTTCCACTCTGTGAGTTGAATACACACAGCACAAAGAAGTTACTGAGAATTCTTCTGTCTAGCATGAAATGAAGAAATCCCGTTTCCAACGAAGGCCTCAATGCGGTCCATATATCCACTTGCAGACTTTACAAACAGAGTGTTTCCAAACTGCTCTATGAAAAGAAAGGTTAAACTACGTGAGTTGAATGCACACATCACAAAGAATTTTCTGAGAATGATTCTGTCTGATTTTTATTTGAAGATATTTCCCTTTCTACTGTTGGCATCAAATGGCTTGAAATCTCCACTTCCAAATTTCGCAAAAAGAGTGTTTCAAATCTGCTCTGTCTAAAGGGACGTTCCACTCGGCGAGTTGAATGCACACAACACAAAGAATTTACTGAGAATTCTTCTGTCTAGCATTCAATGAAGAAATCCCGTTTCCAACGAATGCCTCAAAGCGGTCCATATATCCACTTGCAGACTTTACAAACAGTGTGTTTCCAAACTGCTCTATGAAAAGAAAAGTTAAACTATGTGAGCTGAACGCACACATCACAAAGAATTTTCTGAAAATGATTCTGTCTGGTTATTATACGAAGATATTTCCTTTTCTGCAATTGTCCTCAAATCGCTTGAAATCTCCACCTGAAAATGCCACAGCAAGAGTGTTTCAAATCTGCTCTCTCTAAAGCAAGGTTCAACTCTGTGAGTTGAATACACACAACACAAAAAAGTTACTGAGAACTCTTCTTAGTCTAGCATGAAAGGAAGAAACCCCGTTTGCAACGAAGGCCTCAAAGAGGTCCAAATATCCACTTGCAGACATAACAAGCAGAGTGTTTCTAAACTGCTCTAAGAAAAGAAAGGTTAAACTCTGTGAGTTGAAGGCACACATCACAAAGTAGTTTCTGAGAATGATTCTGTCTAGTTTTTATTTGAAGATATTTCCTTTTCTACTGTTGGCATCAAATCGCTTGAAATCTCCACTTGCAAACTCCACAAAAAGAGTGTTTCAAATCTGCTCTGTGTAAAGGGACGTTCCACTCTGTGAGTTGAATACACACAGCACAAAGAAGTTACTGAGAATTCTTCTGTCTAGCATGAAATGAAGAAATCCCGTTTCCAACGAAGGCCTCAATGCGGTCCATATATCCACTTGCAGACTTTACAAACAGAGTGTTTCCAAACTGCTCTATGAAAAGAAAGGTTAAACTATGTGAGTTGAACGCACACATCACAAAGAATTTTCTGAGAATGATTCTGTCTGGTTTTTATTTGAAGATATTTCCCTTTCTACTGTTGGCATCAAATGGCTAGAAATCTCCACTTGCAAATTCCGCAAAAAGAGTGTTTCAAATCTGCTCTGTCTAAAGGGACGTTCCACTCTGTGAGTTGAATGCACACAACACAAAGAATTTACTGAGAATTCTTCCGTCTAGCATTCAATGAAGAAATCCCGTTTCCAACGAAGGCCTCAAACAGGTCCATATATCCAATTGCAGACTTTACAAACAGTGTGTTTCCAAACTCCTCTATGAAAAGAAAGGTTAAACTCTGTGAGTTGAACGCACACATCACAAAGCACTTTCTGAGAATGATTCTGTCTGGTTATTATACGAAGATATTTCCGTTTCTGCAATTGTCCTCAAATCGCTTGAAATCTCCACCTGAAAATGCCACAGCAAGAGTGTTTCAAACCTGCTCTCTCTAAAGCAAGGTTCAACTCTGTGAGTTGAATACACACAACACAAAAAAGTTACTGAGAACTCTTCTTAGTCTAGCATTAAAGGAAGAAACCCCGTTTGCAACGAAGGCCTCAAAGAGGTCCAAATATCCACTTGCAGACATAACAAGCAGAGTGTTTCTAAACTGCTCTAAGAAAAGAAAGGTTAAACTCTGTGAGTTAAAGGCACACATCACAAAGTAGTTTCTGAGAATGATTCTGTCTAGTTTTTATTTGAAGATATTTCCTTTTCTACTGTTGGCATCAAATCGCTTGAAATCTCCACTTGCAAATTCCACAAAAAGAGTGTTTCAAATCTGCTCTGTGCAAAGGGACGTTCCACTCTGTGAGTTGAATACACACAGCACAAAGAAGTTACTGAGAATTCTTCTGTCTAGCATGAAATGAAGAAATCCCGTTTCCAACGAAGGCCTCAATGCGGTCCATATATCCACTTGCAGACTTTACAAACAGAGTGTTTCCAAACTGCTCTATGAAAAGAAAGGTTAAACTATGTGAGTTGAACGCACACATCACAAAGAATTTTCTGAGAATGATTCTGTCTGGTTTTTATTTGAAGATATTTCCCTTTCTACTGTTGGCATCAAATGGCTAGAAATCTCCACTTGCAAATTCCGCAAAAAGAGTGTTTCAAATCTGCTCTGTCTAAAGGGACGTTCCACTCTGTGAGTTGAATGCACACAACACAAAGAATTTACTGAGAATTCTTCCGTCTAGCATTCAATGAAGAAATCCCGTTTCCAACGAAGGCCTCAAACAGGTCCATATATCCACTTGCAGACTTTACAAACAGTGTGTTTCCAAACTCCTCTATGGAAAGAAAAGTTAAACTCTGTGAGTTGAACGCACACATCACAAAGCACTTTCTGAGAATGATTCTGTCTGGTTGTTATACGAAGATATTTCCTTTTCTGCAATTGTCCTCAAATCGCTTGAAATCTCCACCTGAAAATGCCACAGCAAGAGTGTTTCAAATCTGCTCTCTCTAAAGCAAGGTTCAACTCTGTGAGTTGAATACACACAACACAAAAAAGTTACTGAGAACTCTTCTTAGTCTAGCATGAAAGGAAGAAACCCCGTTTGCAACGAAGGCCTCAAAGAGGTCCAAATATCCACTTGCAGACATAACAAGCAGAGTGTTTCTAAACTGCTCTAAGAAAAGAAAGGTTAAACTCTGTGAGTTGAAGGCACACATCACAAAGCACTTTCTGAGAATGATTCTGTCTAGTTTTTATTTGAAGATATTTCCTTTTCTACTGTTGGCATCAAATCGCTTGAAATCTCCACTTGCAAACTCCACAAAAAGAGTGTTTCAAATCTGCTCTGTGTAAAGGGACGTTCCACTCTGTGAGTTGAATACACACAGCACAAAGAAGTTACTGAGAATTCTTCTGTCTAGCATGAAATGAAGAAATCCCGTTTCCAACGAAGGCCTCAATGCGGTCCATATATCCACTTGCAGACTTTACAAACAGAGTGTTTCCAAACTGCTCTATGAAAAGAAAGGTTAAACTATGTGAGTTGAACGCACACATCACAAAGAATTTTCTGAGAATGATTCTGTCTGGTTTTTATTTGAAGATATTTCCCTTTCTACTGTTGGCATCAAATGGCTAGAAATCTCCACTTGCAAATTCCGCAAAAAGAGTGTTTCAAATCTGCTCTGTCTAAAGGGACGTTCCACTCTGTGAGTTGAATGCACACAACACAAAGAATTTACTGAGAATTCTTCCGTCTAGCATTCAATGAAGAAATCCCGTTTCCAACGAAGGCCTCAAACAGGTCCATATATCTACTTGCAGACTTTACAAACAGTGTGTTTCCAAACTCCTCTATGAAAAGAAAGGTTAAACTCTGTGAGTTGAACGCACACATCACAAAGCACTTTCTGAGAATGATTCTGTCTGGTTATTATACGAAGATATTTCCTTTTCTGCAATTGTCCTCAAATCGCTTGAAATCTCCACCTGAAAATGCCACAGCAAGAGTGTTTCAAATCTGCTCTCTCTAAAGCAAGGTTCAACTCTGTGAGTTGAATACACACAACACAAAAAAGTTACTGAGAACTCTTCTTAGTCTAGCATTAAAGGAAGAAATCCCGTTTGCAACGAAGGCCTCAAAGAGGTCCAAATATCCACTTGCAGACATAAGAAGCAGAGTGTTTCTAAACTGCTCTAAGAAAAGAAAGGTTAAACTCTGTGAGTTGAAGGCACACATCACAAAGTAGTTTCTGAGAATGATTCTGTCTAGTTTTTATTTGAAGATATTTCCTTTTCTACTGCTGGCATCAAATCGCTTGAAATCTCCACTTGCAAATTCCACAAAAAGAGTGTTTCAAATCTTCTCTGTCTAAAGGGACGTTCCACTCTGTGAGTTGAATACACACAACACAAAGAAGTTACTGAGAATTCTTCTGTCTAGCATTCAATGAAGAAATCCCGTTTCCAAGGAATGCCTCAAAGCGGTACATATATCCACTTGCAGATTTTACAAATAGTGTGTTTCGAAACTGCTCTATGAAAAGAAAGGTTAAACTATGTGAGCTGAACGCACACATCACAAAGAATTTTGCTGAGAATGATTCTGTCTGGTTTTTATTTGAAGATATTTCCCTTTCTACTGTTGGCATCAAATGGCTAGAAATCTCCACTTGCAAATTCCGCAAAAAGAGTGTTTCAAATCTGCTCTGTCTAAAGGGACGTTCCACTCTGTGAGTTGAATGCACACAACACAAAGAATTTACTGAGAATTCTTCCGTCTAGCATTCAATGAAGAAATCCCGTTTCCAATGAAGGCCTCAAACAGGTCCATATATCCACTTGCAGACTTTACAAACAGTGTGTTTCCAAACTCCTCTATGAAAAGAAAGGTTAAACTCTGTGAGTTGAACGCACACATCACAAAGCACTTTCTGAGAATGATTCTGTCTGGTTATTATACGAAGATATTTCCTTTTCTGCAATTGTCCTCAAATCGCTTGAAATCTCCACCTGAAAATGCCACAGCAAGAGTGTTTCAAATCTGCTCTCTCTAAAGCAAGGTTCAACTCTGTGAGTTGAATACACACAACACAAAAAAGTTACTGAGAACTCTTCTTAGTCTAGCATGAAAGGAAGAAACCCCGTTTGCAACGAAGGCCTCAAAGAGGTCCAAATATCCACTTGCAGACATAACAAGCAGAGTGTTTCTAAACTGCTCTAAGAAAAGAAAGGTTAAACTCTGTGAGTTGAAGGCACACATCACAAAGTAGTTTCTGAGAATGATTCTGTCTAGTTTTTATTTGAAGATATTTCCTTTTCTACTGTTGGCATCAAATCGCTTGAAATCTCCACTTGCAAACTCCACAAAAAGAGTGTTTCAAATCTGCTCTGTGTAAAGGGACGTTCCACTCTGTGAGTTGAATACACACAGCACAAAGAAGTTACAGAGAATTCTTCTGTCTAGCATGAAATGAAGAAATCCCGTTTCCAACGAAGGCCTCAATGCGGTCCATATATCCACTTGCAGACTTTACAAACAGAGTGTTTCCAAACTGCTCTATGAAAAGAAAGGTTAAACTATGTGAGTTGAACGCACACATCACAAAGAATTTTCTGAGAATGATTCTGTCTGGTTTTTATTTGAAGATATTTCCCTTTCTACTGTTGGCATCAAATGGCTAGAAATCTCCACTTGCAAATTCCGCAAAAAGAGTGTTTCAAATCTGCTCTGTCTAAAGGAACGTTCCACTCTGTGAGTTGAATGCACACAACACAAAGAATTTACTGAGAATTCTTCCGTCTAGCATTCAATGAAGAAATCCCGTTTCCAACGAAGGCCTCAAACAGGTCCATATATCCACTTGCAGACTTTACAAACAGTGTGTTTCCAAACTCCTCTATGAAAAGAAAGGTTAAACTCTGTGAGTGGAACGCACACATCACAAAGCACTTTCTGAGAATGATTCTGTCTGGTTATTATACGAAGATATTTCCTTTTCTGCAATTGTCCTCAAATCGCTTGAAATCTCCACCTGAAAATGCCACAGCAAGAGTGTTTCAAATCTGCTCTCTCTAAAGCAAGGTTCAACTCTGTGAGTTGAATACACACAACACAAAAAAGTTACTGAGAACTCTTCTTAGTCTAGCATGAAAGGAAGAAACCCCGTTTGCAACGAAGGCCTCAAAGAGGTCCAAATATCCACTTGCAGACATAACAAGCAGAGTGTTTCTAAACTGCTCTAAGAAAAGAAAGGTTAAACTCTGTGAGTTGAAGGCACACATCACAAAGTAGTTTCTGAGAATGATTCTGTCTAGTTTTTATTTGAAGATATTTCCTTTTCTACTGTTGGCATCAAATCGCTTGAAATCTCCACTTGCAAACTCCACAAAAAGAGTGTTTCAAATCTGCTCTGTGCAAAGGGACGTTCCACTCTGTGAGTTGAATACACACAGCACAAAGAAGTTACTGAGAATTCTTCTGTCTAGCATGAAATGAAGAAATCCCGTTTCCAACGAAGGCCTCAATGCGGTCCATATATCCACTTGCAGACTTTACAAACAGAGTGTTTCCAAACTGCTCTATGAAAAGAAAGGTTAAACTATGTGAGTTGAACGCACACATCACAAAGAATTTTCTGAGAATGATTCTGTCTGGTTTTTATTTGAAGATATTTCCCTTTCTACTGTTGGCATCAAATGGCTAGAAATCTCCACTTGCAAATTCCGCAAAAAGAGTGTTTCAAATCTGCTCTGTCTAAAGGGACGTTCCACTCTGTGAGTTGAATGCACACCACACAAAGAATTTACTGAGAATTCTCCCGTCTAGCATTCAATGAAGAAATCCCGTTTCCAACGGAGGCCTCAAACAGGTCCATATATCCAATTGCAGACTTTACAAACAGTGTGTTTCCAAACTCCTCTATGAAAAGAAAGGTTAAACTCTGTGAGTTGAACGCACACATCACAAAGCACTTTCTGAGAATGATTCTGTCTGGTTATTATACGAAGATATTTCCTTTTCTGCAATTGTCCTCAAATCGCTTGAAATCTCCACCTGAAAATGCCACAGCAAGAGTGTTTCAAATCTGCTCTCTCTAAAGCAAGGTTCAACTCTGTGAGTTGAATACACACAACACAAAAAAGTTACTGAGAACTCTTCTTAGTCTAGCATTAAAGGAAGAAACCCCGTTTGCAACGAAGGCCTCAAAGAGGTCCAAATATCAACTTGCAGACATAACAAGCAGAGTGTTTCTAAGCTGCTCTCAGAAAAGAAAGGTTAAACTCGGTGATTTGAAGGCACACATCACAAAGTAGTTTCTGAGAATGATTCTGTCTAGTTTTTATTTGAAGATATTTCCTTTTCTACTGTTGGCATCAAATCGCTTGAAATCTCCACTTGCAAACTCCACAAAAAGAGTGTTTCAAATCTGCTCTGTGTAAAGGGACGTTCCACTCTGTGAGTTGAATACACACAGCACAAAGAAGTTACTGAGAATTCTTCTGTCTAGCATGAAATGAAGAAATCCCGTTTCCAACGAAGGCCTCAATGCGGTCTATATATCCACTTGCAGACTTCACAAACAGAGTGTTTCCAAACTGCTCTATGAAAAGAAAGGTTAAACTATGTGAGTTGAACGCACACATCACAAAGAATTTTCTGAGAATGATTCTGTCTGGTTTTTATTTGAAGATATTTCCCTTTCTACTGTTGGCATCAAATGGCTAGAAATCTCCACTTGCAAATTCCGCAAAAAGAGTGTTTCAAATCTGCTCTGTCTAAAGGGACGTTCCACTCTGTGAGTTGAATGCACACAACACAAAGAATTTACTGAGAATTCTTCCGTCTAGCATTCAATGAAGAAATCCCGTTTCCAACGAAGGCCTCAAACAGGTCCATATATCCACTTGCAGACTTTACAAACAGTGTGTTTCCAAACTCCTCTGTGAAAAGAAAGGTTAAACTCTGTGAGTTGAACGCACACATCACAAAGCACTTTCTGAGAATGATTCTGTCTGGTTGTTATACGAAGATATTTCCTTTTCTGTAATTGTCCTCAAATCGCTTGAAATCTCCACCTGAAAATGCCACAGCAAGAGTGTTTCAAATCTGCTCTCTCTAAAGCAAGGTTCAACTCTGTGAGTTGAATACACACAACACAAAAAAGTTACTGAGAACTCTTCTTAGTCTAGCATGAAAGGAAGAAACCCCGTTTGCAACGAAGGCCTCAAAGAGGTCCAAATATCCACTTGCAGACATAACAAGCAGAGTGTTTCTAAACTGCTCTAAGAAAAGAAAGGTTAAACTCTGTGAGTTGAAGGCACACATCACAAAGTAGTTTCTGAGAATGATTCTGTCTAGTTTTTATTTGAAGATATTTCCTTTTCTACTGTTGGCATCAAATCGCTTGAAATCTCCACTTGCAAACTCCACAAAAAGAGTGTTTCAAATCTGCTCTGTGCAAAGGGACGTTCCACTCTGTGAGTTGAATACACACAGCACAAAGAAGTTACTGAGAATTCTTCTGTCTAGCATGAAATGAAGAAATCCCGTTTCCAACGAAGGCCTCAATGCGGTCCATATATCCACTTGCAGACTTTACAAACAGAGTGTTTCCAAACTGCTCTATGAAAAGAAAGGTTAAACTATGTGAGTTGAACGCACACATCACAAAGAATTTTCTGAGAATGATTCTGTCTGGTTTTTATTTGAAGATATTTCCCTTTCTACTGTTGGCATCAAATGGCTAGAAATCTCCACTTGCAAATTCCGCAAAAAGAGTGTTTCAAATCTGCTCTGTCTAAAGGGACGTTCCACTCTGTGAGTTGAATGCACACAACACAAAGAATTTACTGAGAATTCTTCCGTCTAGCATTCAATGAAGAAATCCCGTTTCCAACGAAGGCCTCAAACAGGTCCATATATCCAATTGCAGACTTTACAAACAGTGTGTTTCCAAACTCCTCTATGAAAAGAAAGGTTAAACTCTGTGAGTTGAACGCACACATCACAAAGCACTTTCTGAGAATGATTCTGTCTGGTTATTATACGAAGATATTTCCTTTTCTGCAATTGTCCTCAAATCGCTTGAAATCTCCACCTGAAAATGCCACAGCAAGAGTGTTTCAAATCTGCTCTCTCTAAAGCAAGGTTCAACTCTGTGAGTTGAATACACACAACACAAAAAAGTTACTGAGAACTCTTCTTAGTCTAGCATGAAAGGAAGAAACCCCGTTTGCAACGAAGGCCTCAAAGAGGTCCAAATATCCACTTGCAGACATAACAAGCAGAGTGTTTCTAAACTGCTCTAAGAAAAGAAAGGTTAAACTCTGTGAGTTGAAGGCACACATCACAAAGTAGTTTCTGAGAATGATTCTGTCTAGTTTTTATTTGAAGATATTTCCTTTTCTACTGTTGGCATCAAATCGCTTGAAATCTCCACTTGCAAACTCCACAAAAAGAGTGTTTCAAATCTGCTCTGTGCAAAGGGACGTTCCACTCTGTGAGTTGAATACACACAGCACAAAGAAGTTACTGAGAATTCTTCTGTCTAGCATGAAATGAAGAAATCCCGTTTCCAACGAAGGCCTCAATGCGGTCCATATATCCACTTGCAGACTTTACAAACAGAGTGTTTCCAAACTGCTCTATGAAAAGAAAGGTTAAACTATGTGAGTTGAACGCACACATCACAAAGAATTTTCTGAGAATGATTCTGTCTGGTTTTTATTTGAAGATATTTCCCTTTCTACTGTTGGCATCAAATGGCTAGAAATCTCCACTTGCAAATTCCGCAAAAAGAGTGTTTCAAATCTGCTCTGTCTAAAGGGACGTTCCACTCTGTGAGTTGAATGCACACAACACAAAGAATTTACTGAGAATTCTTCCGTCTAGCATTCAATGAAGAAATCCCGTTTCCAACGAAGGCCTCAAACAGGTCCATATATCCACTTGCAGACTTTACAAACAGTGTGTTTCCAAACTCCTCTATGGAAAGAAAAGTTAAACTCTGTGAGTTGAACGCACACATCACAAAGCACTTTCTGAGAATGATTCTGTCTGGTTATTATACGAAGATATTTCCTTTTCTGCAATTGTCCTCAAAACGCTTGAAATCTCCACCTGAAAATGCCACAGCAAGAGTGTTTCAAATCTGCTCTCTCTAAAGCAAGGTTCAACTCTGTGAGTTGAATACACACAACACAAAAAAGTTACTGAGAACTCTTCTTAGTCTAGCATTAAAGGAAGAAACCCCGTTTGCAACGAAGGCCTCAAAGAGGTCCAAATATCAACTTGCAGACATAACAAGCAGAGTGTTTCTAAGCTGCTCTCAGAAAAGAAAGGTTAAACTCGGTGAGTTGAAGGCACACATCACAAAGTAGTTTCTGAGAATGATTCTGTCTAGTTTTTATTTGAAGATACTTCCTTTTCTACTGTTGGCATCAAATCGCTTGAAATCTCCACTTGCAAACTCCACAAAAAGAGTGTTTCAAATCTGCTCTGTGCAAAGGGACGTTCCACTCTGTGAGTTGAATACACACAGCACAAAGAAGTTACTGAGAATTCTTCTGTCTAGCATGAAATGAAGAAATCCGGTTTCCAACGAAGGCCTCAATGCGGTCCATATATCCACTTGCAGACTTTACAAACAGAGTGTTTCCAAACTGCTCTATGAAAAGAAAGGTTAAACTATGTGAGTTGAACGCACACATCACAAAGAATTTTCTGAGAATGATTCTGTCTGGTTTTTATTTGAAGATATTTCCCTTTCTACTGTTGGCATCAAATGGCTAGAAATCTCCACTTGCAAATTCCGCAAAAAGAGTGTTTCAAATCTGCTCTGTCTAAAGGGACGTTCCACTCTGTGAGTTGAATGCACACAACACAAAGAATTTACTGAGAATTCTTCCGTCTAGCATTCAATGAAGAAATCCCGTTTCCAACGAAGGCCTCAAACAGGTCCATATATCCACTTGCAGAGTTTACAAACAGTTTGTTTCCAAACTCCTCTATGAAAAGAAAGGTTAAACTCTGTGAGTGGAACGCACACATCACAAAGCACTTTCTGAGAATGATTCTGTCTGGTTGTTATACGAAGATATTTCCTTTTCTGCAATTGTCCTCAAATCGCTTGAAATCTCCACCTGAAAATGCCACAGCAAGAGTGTTTCAAATCTGCTCTCTCTAAAGCAAGGTTCAACTCTGTGAGTTGAATACACACAACACAAAAAAGTTACTGAGAACTCTTCTTAGTCTAGCATGAAAGGAAGAAACCCCGTTTGCAACGAAGGCCTCAAAGAGGTCCAAATATCCACTTGCAGACATAACAAGCAGAGTGTTTCTAAACTGCTCTAAGAAAAGAAAGGTTAAACTCTGTGAGTTGAAGGCACACATCACAAAGTAGTTTCTGAGAAAGATTCTGTCTAGTTTTTATTTGAAGATATTTCCTTTTCTACTGTTGGCATCAAATCGCTTGAAATCTCCACTTGCAAATTCCACAAAAAGAGTGTTTCAAATCTGCTCTGTGCAAAGGGACGTTCCACTCTGTGAGTTGAATACACACAGCACAAAGAAGTTACTGAGAATTCTTCTGTCTAGCATGAAATGAAGAAATCCCGTTTCCAACGAAGGCCTCAATGCGGTCCATATATCCACTTGCAGACTTTACAAACAGAGTGTTTCCAAACTGCTCTATGAAAAGAAAGGTTAAACTATGTGAGTTGAACGCACACATCACAAAGAATTTTCTGAGAATGATTCTGTCTGGTTTTTATTTGAAGATATTTCCCTTTCTACTGTTGGCATCAAATGGCTAGAAATCTCCACTTGCAAATTCCGCAAAAAGAGTGTTTCAAATCTGCTCTGTCTAAAGGGACGTTCCACTCTGTGAGTTGAATGCACACAACACAAAGAATTTACTGAGAATTCTTCCGTCTAGCATTCAATGAAGAAATCCCGTTTCCAACGAAGGCCTCAAACAGGTCCATATATCCACTTGCAGACTTTACAGTGTGTTTCCAAACTCCTCTATGAAAAGAAAGGTTAAACTCTGTGAGTTCAACGCACACATCACAAAGCACTTTCTGAGAATGATTCTGTCTGGTTGTTATACGAAGATATTTCCTTTTCTGCAATTGTCCTCAAATCGCTTGAAATCTCCACCTGAAAATGCCACAGCAAGAGTGTTTCAAATCTGCTCTCTCTAAAGCAAGGTTCAACTCTGTGAGTTGAATACACACAACACAAAAAAGTTACTGAGAACTCTTCTTAGTCTAGCATTAAAGGAAGAAACCCTGTTTGCAACGAAGGCCTCAAAGAGGTCCAAATATCCACTTGCAGACATAACAAGCAGAGTGTTTCTAAACTGCTCTAAGAAAAGAAAGGTTAAACTCTGTGAGTTGAAGGCACACATCACAAAGTAGTTTCTGAGAATGATTCTGTCTAGTTTTTATTTGAAGATATTTCCTTTTCTACTGTTGGCATCAAATCGCTTGAAATCTCCACTTGCAAACTCCACAAAAAGAGTGTTTCAAATCTGCTCTGTGCAAAGGGACGTTCCACTCTGTGAGTTGAATACACACAGCACAAAGAAGTTACTGAGAATTCTTCTGTCTAGCATGAAATGAAGAAATCCCGTTTCCAACGAAGGTCTCAATGCGGTCCATATATCCACTTGCAGACTTTACAAACAGAGTGTTTCCAAACTGCTCTATGAAAAGAAAGGTTAAACTATGTGAGTTGAACGCACACATCACAAAGAATTTTCTGAGAATGATTCTGTCTGGTTTTTATTTGAAGATATTTCCCTTTCTACTGTTGGCATCAAATGGCTAGAAATCTCCACTTGCAAATTCCGCAAAAAGAGTGTTTCAAATCTGCTCTGTCTAAAGGGACGTTCCACTCTGTCAGTTGAATGCACACAACACAAAGAATTTACTGAGAATTCTTCCGTCTAGCATTCAATGAAGAAATCCCGTTTCCAACGAAGGCCTCAAACAGGTCCATATATCCACTTGCAGACTTTACAAACAGTGTGTTTCCAAACTCCTCTATGAAAAGAAAGGTTAAACTCTGTGAGTGGAACGCACACATCACAAAGCACTTTCTGAGAATGATTCTGTCTGGTTGTTATACGAAGATATTTCCTTTTCTGCAATTGTCCTCAAATCGCTTGAAATCTCCACCTGAAAATGCCACAGCAAGAGTGTTTCAAATCTGCTCTCTCTAAAGCAAGGTTCAACTCTGTGAGTTGAATACACACAACACAAAAAAGTTACTGAGAACTCTTCTTAGTCTAGCATGAAAGGAAGAAACCCCGTTTGCAACGAAGGCCTCAAAGAGGTCCAAATATCCACTTGCAGACATAACAAGCAGAGTGTTTCTAAACTGCTCTAAGAAAAGAAAGGTTAAACTCTGTGAGTTGAAGGCACACATCACAAAGTAGTTTCTGAGAATGATTCTGTCTAGTTTTTATTTGAAGATATTTCCTTTTCTACTGTTGGCATCAAATCGCTTGAAATCTCCACTTGCAAACTCCACAAAAAGAGTGTTTCAAATCTGCTCTGTGCAAAGGGACGTTCCACTCTGTGAGTTGAATACACACAGCACAAAGAAGTTACTGAGAATTCTTCTGTCTAGCATGAAATGAAGAAATCCCGTTTCCAACGAAGGCCTCAATGCGGTCCATATATCCACTTGCAGACTTTACAAACAGAGTGTTTCCAAACTGCTCTATGAAAAGAAAGGTTAAACTATGTGAGTTGAACGCACACATCACAAAGAATTTTCTGAGAATGATTCTGTCTGGTTTTTATTTGAAGATATTTCCCTTTCTACTGTTGGCATCAAATGGCTAGAAATCTCCACTTGCAAATTCCGCAAAAGAGTGTTTCAAATCTGCTCTGTCTAAAGGGACGTTCCACTCTGTGAGTTGAATGCACACAACACAAAGAATTTACTGAGAATTCTTCCGTCTAGCATTCAATGAAGAAATCCCGTTTCCAACGAAGGCCTCAAACAGGTCCATATATCCACTTGCAGAGTTTACAAACAGTGTGTTTCCAAACTCCTCTATGAAAAGAAAGGTTAAACTCTGTGAGTGGAACGCACACATCACAAAGCACTTTCTGAGAATGATTCTGTCTGGTTGTTATACGAAGATATTTCCTTTTCTGCAATTGTCCTCAAATCGCTTGAAATCTCCACCTGAAAATGCCACAGCAAGAGTGTTTCAAATCTGCTCTCTCTAAAGCAAGGTTCAACTCTGTGAGTTGAATACACACAACACAAAAAAGTTACTGAGAACTCTTCTTAGTCTAGCATGAAAGGAAGAAACCCCGTTTGCAACGAAGGCCTCAAAGAGGTCCAAATATCCACTTGCAGACATAACAAGCAGAGTGTTTCTAAACTGCTCTAAGAAAAGAAAGGTTAAACTCTGTGAGTTGAAGGCACACATCACAAAGTAGTTTCTGAGAATGATTCTGTCTAGTTTTTATTTGAAGATATTTCCTTTTCTACTGTTGGCATCAAATCGCTTGAAATCTCCACTTGCAAATTCCACAAAAAGAGTGTTTCAAATCTGCTCTGTGCAAAGGGACGTTCCACTCTGTGAGTTGAATACACACAGCACAAAGAAGTTACTGAGAATTCTTCTGTCTAGCATGAAATGAAGAAATCCCGTTTCCAACGAAGGCCTCAATGCGGTCCATATATCCACTTGCAGACTTTACAAACAGAGTGTTTCCAAACTGCTCTATGAAAAGAAAGGTTAAACTATGTGAGTTGAACGCACACATCACAAAGAATTTTCTGAGAATGATTCTGTCTGGTTTTTATTTGAAGATATTTCCCTTTCTACTGTTGGCATCAAATGGCTAGAAATCTCCACTTGCAAATTCCGCAAAAAGAGTGTTTCAAATCTGCTCTGTCTAAAGGGACGTTCCACTCTGTGAGTTGAATGCACACAACACAAAGAATTTACTGAGATTTCTTCCGTCTAGCATTCAATGAAGAAATCCCGTTTCCAACGAAGGCCTCAAACAGGTCCATATATCCAATTGCAGACTTTACAAACTGTGTGTTTCCAAACTCCTCTATGAAAAGAAAGGTTAAACTCTGTGAGTTGAACGCACACATCACAAAGCACTTTCTGAGAATGATTCTGTCTGGTTATTATACGAAGATATTTCCTTTTCTGCAATTGTCCTCAAATCGCTTGAAATCTCCACCTGAAAATGCCACAGCAAGAGTGTTTCAAATCTGCTCTCTCTAAAGCAAGGTTCAACTCTGTGAGTTGAATACACACAACACAAAAAAGTTACTGAGAACTCTTCTTAGTCTAGCATGAAAGGAAGAAACCCCGTTTGCAACGAAGGCCTCAAAGAGGTCCAAATATCCACTTGCAGACATAACAAGCAGAGTGTTTCTAAACTGCTCTAAGAAAAGAAAGGTTAAACTCTGTGAGTTGAAGGCACACATCACAAAGTAGTTTCTGAGAATGATTCTGTCTAGTTTTTATTTGAAGATATTTCCTTTTCTACTGTTGGCATCAAATCGCTTGAAATCTCCACTTGCAAATTCCACAAAAAGAGTGTTTCAAATCTGCTCTGTGCAAAGGGACGTTCCACTCTGTGAGTTGAATACACACAGCACAAAGAAGTTACTGAGAATTCTTCTGTCTAGCATGAAATGAAGAAATCCCGTTTCCAACGAAGGCCTCAATGCGGTCCATATATCCACTTGCAGACTTTACAAACAGAGTGTTTCCAAACTGCTCTATGAAAAGAAAGGTTAAACTATGTGAGTTGAACGCACACATCACAAAGAATTTTCTGAGAATGATTCTGTCTGGTTTTTATTTGAAGATATTTCCCTTTCTACTGTTGGCATCAAATGGCTAGAAATCTCCACTTGCAAATTCCGCAAAAAGAGTGTTTCAAATCTGCTCTGTCTAAAGGGACGTTCCACTCTGTCAGTTGAATGCACACAACACAAAGAATTTACTGAGAATTCTTCCGTCTAGCATTCAATGAAGAAATCCCGTTTCCAACGAAGGCCTCAAACAGGTCCATATATCCAATTGCAGACTTTACAAACAGTGTGTTTCCAAACTCCTCTATGAAAAGAAAGGTTAAACTACTGTGAGTTGAACGCACACATCACAAAGCACTTTCTGAGAATGATTCTGTCTGGTTATTATACGAAGATATTTCCTTTTCTGCAATTGTCCTCAAATCGCTTGAAATCTCCACCTGAAAATGCCACAGCAAGAGTGTTTCAAATCTGCTCTCTCTAAAGCAAGGTTCAACTCTGTGAGTTGAATACACACAACACAAAAAAGTTACTGAGAACTCTTCTTAGTCTAGCATGAAAGGAAGAAACCCCGTTTGCAACGAAGGCCTCAAAGAGGTCCAAATATCCACTTGCAGACATAACAAGCAGAGTGTTTCTAAACTGCTCTAAGAAAAGAAAGGTTAAACTCTGTGAGTTGAAGGCACACATCACAAAGTAGTTTCTGAGAATGATTCTGTCTAGTTTTTATTTGAAGATATTTCCTTTTCTACTGTTGGCATCAAATCGCTTGAAATCTCCACTTGCAAACTCCACAAAAAGAGTGTTTCAAATCTGCTCTGTGTAAAGGGACGTTCCACTCTGTGAGTTGAATACACACAGCACAAAGAAGTTACTGAGAATTCTTCTGTCTAGCATGAAATGAAGAAATCCCGTTTCCAACGAAGGCCTCAATGCGGTCCATATATCCACTTGCAGACTTTACAAACAGAGTGTTTCCAAACTGCTCTATGAAAAGAAAGGTTAAACTATGTGAGTTGAACGCACACATCACAAAGAATTTTCTGAGAATGATTCTGTCTGGTTTTTATTTGAAGATATTTCCCTTTCTACTGTTGGCATCAAATGGCTAGAAATCTCCACTTGCAAATTCCGCAAAAAGAGTGTTTCAAATCTGCTCTGTCTAAAGGGACGTTCCACTCTGTGAGTTGAATGCACACACCACAAAGAATTTACTGAGAATTCTTCCGTCTAGCATGCAATGAAGAAATCCCGTTTCCAACGAAGGCCTCAAACAGGTCCATATATCCAATTGCAGACTTTACAAACAGTGTGTTTCCAAACTCCTCTATGAAAAGAAAGGTTAAACTCTGTGAGTTGAACGCACACATCACAAAGCACTTTCTGAGAATGATTCTGTCTGGTTGTTATACGAAGATATTTCCTTTTCTGCAATTGTCCTCAAATCGCTTGAAATCTCCACCTGAAAATGCCACAGCAAGAGTGTTTCAAATCTGCTCTCTCTAAAGCAAGGTTCAACTCTGTGAGTTGAATACACACAACACAAAAAAGTTACTGAGAACTCTTCTTAGTCTAGCATGAAAGGAAGAAACCCCGTTTGCAACGAAGGCCTCAAAGAGGTCCAAATATCCACTTGCAGACATAACAAGCAGAGTGTTTCTAAACTGCTCTAAGAAAAGAAAGGTTAAACTCTGTGAGTTGAAGGCACACATCACAAAGTAGTTTCTGAGAATGATTCTGTCTAGTTTTTATTTGAAGATATTTCCTTTTCTACTGTTGGCATCAAATCGCTTGAAATCTCCACTTGCAAACTCCACAAAAAGAGTGTTTCAAATCTGCTCTGTGTAAAGGGACGTTCCACTCTGTGAGTTGAATACACACAGCACAAAGAAGTTACTGAGAATTCTTCTGTCTAGCATGAAATGAAGAAATCCCGTTTCCAACGAAGGCCTCATTGCGGTCCATATATCCACTTGCAGACTTTACAAACAGAGTGTTTCCAAACTGCTCTATGAAAAGAAAGGTTAAACTATGTGAGTTGAACGCACACATCACAAAGAATTTTCTGAGAATGATTCTGTCTGGTTTTTATTTGAAGATATTTCCCTTTCTACTGTTGGCATCAAATGGCTAGAAATCTCCACTTGCAAATTCCGCAAAAAGAGTGTTTCAAATCTGCTCTGTCTAAAGGGACGTTCCACTCTGTGAGTTGAATGCACACAACACAAAGAATTTACTGAGAATTCTTCCGTCTAGCATTCAATGAAGAAATCCCGTTTCCAACGAAGGCCTCAAACAGGTCCATATATCCAATTGCAGACTTTACAAACAGTGTGTTTCCAAACTCCTCTATGAAAAGAAAGGTTAAACTCTGTGAGTTGAACGCACACATCACAAAGCACTTTCTGAGAATGATTCTGTCTGGTTATTATACGAAGATATTTCCTTTTCTGCAATTGTCCTCAAATCGCTTGAAATCTCCACCTGAAAATGCCACAGCAAGAGTGTTTCAAATCTGCTCTCTCTAAAGCAAGGTTCAACTCTGTGAGTTGAATACACACAACACAAAAAAGTTACTGAGAACTCTTCTTAGTCTAGCATGAAAGGAAGAAACCCCGTTTGCAACGAAGGCCTCAAAGAGGTCCAAATATCCACTTGCAGACATAACAAGCAGAGTGTTTCTAAACTGCTCTAAGAAAAGAAAGGTTAAACTCTGTGAGTTGAAGGCACACATCACAAAGTAGTTTCTGAGAATGATTCTGTCTAGTTTTTATTTGAAGATATTTCCTTTTCTACTGTTGGCATCAAATCGCTTGAAATCTCCACTTGCAAACTCCACAAAAAGAGTGTTTCAAATCTGCTCTGTGCAAAGGGACGTTCCACTCTGTGAGTTGAATACACACAGCACAAAGAAGTTACTGAGAATTCTTCTGTCTAGCATGAAATGAAGAAATCTCGTTTCCAACGAAGGCCTCAATGCGGTCCATATATCCACTTGCAGACTTTACAAACAGAGTGTTTCCAAACTGCTCTATGAAAAGAAAGGTTAAACTATGTGAGTTGAACGCACACATCACAAAGAATTTTCTGAGAATGATTCTGTCTGGTTTTTATTTGAAGATATTTCCCTTTCTACTGTTGGCATCAAATGGCTAGAA
Organism: Homo sapiens; assembly: GCF_000001405.40. Classification (NCBI taxonomy): domain Eukaryota; kingdom Metazoa; phylum Chordata; class Mammalia; order Primates; family Hominidae; genus Homo; species Homo sapiens. The sequence continues at coordinate 60,662,770 of NC_000007.14, read as the reverse complement.
ATCTCCACTTGCAAATTCCGCAAAAAGAGTGTTTCAAATCTGCTCTGTCTAAAGGGACGTTCCACTCTGTGAGTTGAATGCACACAACACAAAGAATTTACTGAGAATTCTTCCGTCTAGCATTCAATGAAGAAATCCCGTTTCCAACGAAGGCCTCAAAGAGGTCCATATATCCACTTGCAGACTTTACAAACAGTGTGTTTCCAAACTCCTCTATGAAAAGAAATGTTAAACTCTGTGAGTTGAACGCACACATCACAAAGCACTTTCTGAGAATGATTCTGTCTGGTTATTATACGAAGATATTTCCTTTTCTGCAATTGTCCTCAAATCGCTTGAAATCTCCACCTGAAAATGCCACAGCAAGAGTGTTTCAAATCTGCTCTCTCTAAAGCAAGGTTCAACTCTGTAAGTTGAATACACACAACACAAAAAAGTTACTGAGAACTCTTCTTAGTCTAGCATGAAAGGAAGAAACCCCGTTTGCAACGAAGGCCTCAAAGAGGTCCAAATATCCACTTGCAGACATAACAAGCAGAGTGTTTCTAAACTGCTCTAAGAAAAGAAAGGTTAAACTCTGTGAGTTGAAGGCACACATCACAAAGTAGTTTTTGAGAATGATTCTGTCTAGTTTTTATTTGAAGATATTTCCTTTTCTACTGTTGGCATCAAATCGCTTGAAATCTCCACTTGCAAACTCCACAAAAAGAGTGTTTCAAATCTGCTCTGTGCAAAGGGACGTTCCACTCTGTGAGTTGAATACACACAGCACAAAGAAGTTACTGAGAATTCTTCTGTCTAGCATGAAATGAAGAAATCCCGTTTCCAACGAAGGCCTCAATGCGGTCCATAGATCCACTTGCAGACTTTACAAACAGAGTGTTTCCAAACTGCTCTATGAAAAGAAAGGTTAAACTATGTGAGTTGAACGCACACATCACAAAGAATTTTCTGAGAATGATTCTGTCTGGTTTTTATTTGAAGATATTTCCCTTTCTACTGTTGGCATCAAATGGCTAGAAATCTCCACTTGCAAATTCCGCAAAAAGAGTGTTTCAAATCTGCTCTGTCTAAAGGGACGTTCCACTCTGTGAGTTGAATGCACACAACACGAAGAATTTACTGAGAATTCTTCCGTCTAGCATTCAATGAAGAAATCCCGTTTCCAACGAAGGCCTCAAACAGGTCCATATATCCAATTGCAGACTTTACAAACAGTGTGTTTCCAAACTCCTCTATGAAAAGAAAGGTTAAACTCTGTGAGTTGAACGCACACATCACAAAGCACTTTCTGAGAATGATTCTGTCTGGTTATTTTACGAAGATATTTCCTTTTCTGCAATTGTCCTCAAATCGCTTGAAATCTCCACCTGAAAATGCCACAGCAAGAGTGTTTCAAATCTGCTCTCTCTAAAGCAAGGTTCAACTCTGTGAGTTGAATAGACACAACACAAAAAAGTTACTGAGAACTCTTCATTAGTCTAGCATTAAAGGGAAGAAACCCCGTTTGCAACGAAGGCCTCAAAGAGGTCCAAATATCCACTTGCAGACATAACAAGCAGAGTGTTTCTAAACTGCTCTAAGAAAAGAAAGGTTAAACTCTGTGAGTTGAAGGCACACATAACAAAGTAGTTTCTGAGAATGATTCTGTCTAGTTTTTATTTGAAGATATTTCCCTTTCTACTGTTGGCATCAAATGGCTAGAAATCTCCACTTGCAAATTCCGCAAAAAGAGTGTTTCAAATCTGCTCTGTGTAAAGGGACGTTCCACTCTGTGAGTTGAATACACACAGCACAAAGAAGTTACTGAGAATTCTTCTGTCTAGCATGAAATGAAGAAATCCCGTTTCCAACGAAGGCCTCAATGCGGTCCATATATCCACTTGCAGACTTTACAAACAGAGTGTTTCCAAACTGCTCTATGAAAAGAAAGGTTAAACTATGTGAGTTGAACGCACACATCACAAAGAATTTTCTGAGAATGATTCTGTCTGGTTTTTATTTGAAGATATTTCCCTTTCTACTGTTGGCATCAAATGGCTAGAAATCTCCACTTGCAAATTCCGCAAAAAGAGTGTTTCAAATCTGCTCTGTCTAAAGGGACGTTCCACTCTGTGAGTTGAATGCACACAACACAAAGAATTTACTGAGAATTCTTCCGTCTAGCATTCAATGAAGAAATCCCTTTTCCAAAGAAGGCCTCAAACAGGTCCATATATCCAATTGCAGACTTTACAAACAGTGTGTTTCCAAACTCCTCTATGAAAAGAAAGGTTAAACTCTGTGAGTTGAACGCACACATCACAAAGCACTTTCTGAGAATGATTCTGTCTGGTTATTATACGAAGATATTTCCTTTTCTGCAATTGTCCTCAAATCGCTTGAAATCTCCACCTGAAAATGCCACAGCAAGAGTGTTTCAAATCTGCTCTCTCTAAAGCAAGGTTCAACTCTGTGAGTTGAATACACACAACACAAAAAAGTTACTGAGAACTCTTCTTAGTCTAGCATGAAAGGAAGAAACCCCGTTTGCAACGAAGGCCTCAAAGAGGTCCAAATATCCACTTGCAGACATAACAAGCAGAGTGTTTCTAAACTGCTCTAAGAAAAGAAAGGTTAAACTCTGTGAGTTGAAGGCACACATCACAAAGTAGTTTCTGAGAATGATTCTGTCTAGTTTTTATTTGAAGATATTTCCTTTTCTACTGGTGGCATCAAATCGCTTGAAATCTCCACTTGCAAATTCCACAAAAAGAGTGTTTCAAATCTGCTCTGTGCAAAGGGACGTTCCACTCTGTGAGTTGAATACACACAGCACAAAGAAGTTACTGAGAATTCTTCTGTCTAGCATGAAATGCAGAAATCCCGTTTCCAACGAAGGCCTCAATGCGGTCCATATATCCACTTGCAGACTTTACAAACAGAGTGTTTCCAAACTGCTCTATGAAAAGAAAGGTTAAACTATGTGAGTTGAACGCACACATCACAAAGAATTTTCTGAGAATGATTCTGTCTGGTTTTTATTTGAAGATATTTCCCTTTCTACTGTTGGCATCAAATGGCTAGAAATCTCCACTTGCAAATTCCGCAAAAAGAGTGTTTCAAATCTGCTCTGTCTAAAGGGACGTTCCACTCTGTGAGTTGAATGCACACAACACAAAGAATTTACTGAGAATTCTTCCGTCTAGCATTCAATGAAGAAATCCCGTTTCCAACGAAGGCCTCAAACAGGTCCATATATCCACTTGCAGACTTTACAAACAGTGTGTTTCCAAACTCCTCTATGAAAAGAAAGGTTAAACTCTGTGAGTGGAACGCACACATCACAAAGCACTTTCTGAGAATGATTCTGTCTGGTTGTTATACGAAGATATTTCCTTTTCTGCAATTGTCCTCAAATCGCTTGAAATCTCCACCTGAAAATGCCACAGCAAGAGTGTTTCAAATCTGCTCTCTCTAAAGCAAGGTTCAACTCTGTGAGTTGAATACACACAACACAAAAAAGTTACTGAGAACTCTTCTTAGTCTAGCATGAAAGGAAGAAACCCCGTTTGCAACGAAGGCCTCAAAGAGGTCCAAATATCCACTTGCAGACATAACAAGCAGAGTGTTTCTAAACTGCTCTAAGAAAAGAAAGGTTAAACTCTGTGAGTTGAAGGCACACATCACAAAGTAGTTTCTGAGAATGATTCTGTCTAGTTTTTATTTGAAGATATTTCCTTTTCTACTGTTGGCATCAAATCGCTTGAAATCTCCACTTGCAAACTCCACAAAAAGAGTGTTTCAAATCTGCTCTGTGTAAAGGGACGTTCCACTCTGTGAGTTGAATACACACAGCACAAAGAAGTTACTGAGAATTCTTCTGTCTAGCATGAAATGAAGAAATCCCGTTTCCAACGAAGGCCTCAATGCGGTCCATATATCCACTTGCAGACTTTACAAACAGAGTGTTTCCAAACTGCTCTATGAAAAGAAAGGTTAAACTATGTGAGTTGAACGCACACATCACAAAGAATTTTCTGAGAATGATTCTGTCTGGTTTTTATTTGAAGATATTTCCCTTTCTACTGTTGGCATCAAATGGCTAGAAATCTCCACTTGCAAATTCCGCAAAAAGAGTGTTTCAAATCTGCTCTGTCTAAAGGGACGTTCCACTCTGTGAGTTGAATGCACACAACACAAAGAATTTACTGAGAATTCTTCCGTCTAGCATTCAATGAAGAAATCCCGTTTCCAACGAAGGCCTCAAACAGGTCCATATATCCAATTGCAGACTTTACAAACAGTGTGTTTCCAAACTCCTCTATGAAAAGAAAGGTTAAACTCTGTGAGTTGAACGCACACATCACAAAGCACTTTCTGAGAATGATTCTGTCTGGTTATTATACGAAGATATTCCCTTTTCTGCAATTTTCCTCAAATCGCTTGAAATCTCCACCTGAAAATGCCACAGCAAGAGTGTTTCAAATCTGCTCTCTCTAAAGCAAGGTTCAACTCTGTGAGTTGAATACACACAGCACAAAGAAGTTACTGAGAATTCTTCTTAGTCTAGCATGAAAGGAAGAAACCCCGTTTGCAACGAAGGCCTCAAAGAGGTCCAAATATCCACTTGCAGACATAACAAGCAGAGTGTTTCTAAACTGCTCTAAGAAAAGAAAGGTTAAACTCTGTGAGTTGAAGGCACACATCACAAAGTAGTTTCTGAGAATGATTCTGTCTAGTTTTTATTTGAAGATATTTCCTTTTCTACTGTTGGCATCAAATCGCTTGAAATCTCCACTTGCAAACTCCACAAAAAGAGTGTTTCAAATCTGCTCTGTGCAAAGGGACGTTCCACTCTGTGAGTTGAATACACACAGCACAAAGAAGTTACTGAGAATTCTTCTGTCTAGCATGAAATGAAGAAATCCCGTTTCCAACGAAGGCCTCAATGCGGTCCATATATCCACTTGCAGACTTTACAAACAGAGTGTTTCCAAACTGCTCTATGAAAAGAAAGGTTAAACTATGTGAGTTGAACGCACACATCACAAAGAATTTTCTGAGAATGATTCTGTCTGGTTTTTATTTGAAGATATTTCCCTTTCTACTGTTGGCATCAAATGGCTAGAAATCTCCACTTGCAAATTCCGCAAAAAGAGTGTTTCAAATCTGCTCTGTCTAAAGGGACGTTCCACTCTGTGAGTTGAATGCACACAACACAAAGAATTTACTGAGAATTCTTCCGTCTAGCATTCAATGAAGAAATCCCGTTTCCAACGAAGGCCTCAAACAGGTCCATATATCCACTTGCAGACTTTACAAACAGTGTGTTTCCAAACTCCTCTATGAAAAGAAAGGTTAAACTCTGTGAGTGGAACGCACACATCACAAAGCACTTTCTGAGAATGATTCTGTCTGGTTGTTATACGAAGATATTTCCTTTTCTGTAATTGTCCTCAAATCGCTTGAAATCTCCACCTGAAAATGCCACAGCAAGAGTGTTTCAAATCTGCTCTCTCTAAAGCAAGGTTCAACTCTGTGAGTTGAATACACACAACACAAAAAAGTTACTGAGAACTCTTCTTAGTCTAGCATGAAAGGAAGAAACCCCGTTTGCAACGAAGGCCTCAAAGAGGTCCAAATATCCACTTGCAGACATAACAAGCAGAGTGTTTCTAAACTGCTCTAAGAAAAGAAAGGTTAAACTCTGTGAGTTGAAGGCACACATCACAAAGTAGTTTCTGAGAATGATTCTGTCTAGTTTTTATTTGAAGATATTTCCTTTTCTACTGTTGGCATCAAATCGCTTGAAATCTCCACTTGCAAACTCCACAAAAAGAGTGTTTCAAATCTGCTCTGTGCAAAGGGACGTTCCACTCTGTGAGTTGAATACACACAGCACAAAGAAGTTACTGAGAATTCTTCTGTCTAGCATGAAATGAAGAAATCCCGTTTCCAACGAAGGCCTCAATGCGGTCCATATATCCACTTGCAGACTTTACAAACAGAGTGTTTCCAAACTGCTCTATGAAAAGAAAGGTTAAACTATGTGAGTTGAACGCACACATCACAAAGAATTTTCTGAGAATGATTCTGTCTGGTTTTTATTTGAAGATATTTCCCTTTCTACTGTTGGCATCAAATGGCTAGAAATCTCCACTTGCAAATTCCGCAAAAAGAGTGTTTCAAATCTGCTCTGTCTAAAGGGACGTTCCACTCTGTGAGTTGAATGCACACAACACAAAGAATTTACTGAGAATTCTTCCGTCTAGCATTCAATGAAGAAATCCCGTTTCCAACGCAGGCCTCAAACAGGTCCATATATCCAATTGCAGACTTTACAAACAGTGTGTTTCCAAACTCCTCTATGAAAAGAAAGGTTAAACTCTGTGAGTTGAACGCACACATCACAAAGCACTTTCTGAGAATGATTCTGTCTGGTTGTTATACGAAGATATTTCCTTTTCTGCAATTGTCCTCAAATCGCTTGAAATCTCCACCTGAAAATGCCACAGCAAGAGTGTTTCAAATCTGCTCTCTCTAAAGCAAGGTTCAACTCTGTGAGTTGAATACACACAACACAAAAAAGTTACTGAGAACTCTTCTTAGTCTAGCATGAAAGGAAGAAACCCCGTTTGCAACGAAGGCCTCAAAGAGGTCCAAATATCCACTTGCAGACATAACAAGCAGAGTGTTTCTAAACTGCTCTAAGAAAAGAAAGGTTAAACTCTGTGAGTTGAAGGCACACATCACAAAGTAGTTTCTGAGAATGATTCTGTCTAGTTTTTATTTGAAGATATTTCCTTTTCTACTGTTGGCATCAAATCGCTTGAAATCTCCACTTGCAAACTCCACAAAAAGAGTGTTTCAAATCTGCTCTGTGTAAAGGGACGTTCCACTCTGTGAGTTGAATACACACAGCACAAAGAAGTTACTGAGAATTCTTCTGTCTAGCATGAAATGAAGAAATCCCGTTTCCAACGAAGGCCTCAATGCGGTCCATATATCCACTTGCAGACTTTACAAACAGAGTGTTTCCAAACTGCTCTATGAAAAGAAAGGTTAAACTATGTGAGTTGAACGCACACATCACAAAGAATTTACTGAGAATGATTCTGTCTGGTTTTTATTTGAAGATATTTCCCTTTCTACTGTTGGCATCAAATGGCTAGAAATCTCCACTTGCAAATTCCGCAAAAAGAGTGTTTCAAATCTGCTCTGTCTAAAGGGACGTTCCACTACTGTGAGTTGAATGCACACAACACAAAGAATTTACTGAGAATTCTTCCGTCTAGCATTCAATGAAGAAATCCCAGTTTCCAACGGAGGCCTCAAACAGGTCCATATATCCAATTGCAGACTTTACAAACAGTGTGTTTCCAAGCTCCTCTATGAAAAGAATGGTTAAACTCTGTGAGTTGAACAGCACACATCACAAAGCACTTTCTGAGAATGATTCTGTCTGGTTATTATACGAAGATATTTCCTTTTCTGCAATTGTCCTCAAAACGCTTGAAATCTCCACCTGAAAATGCCACAGCAAGAGTGTTTCAAATCTGCTCTCTCTAAAGCAAGGTTCAACTCTGTGAGTTGAATACACACAACACAAAAAAGTTACTGAGAACTCTTCTTAGTCTAGCATGAAAGGAAGAAACCCCGTTTGCAACGAAGGCCTCAAAGAGGTCCAAATATCCACTTGCAGACATAACAAGCAGAGTGTTTCTAAACTGCTCTAAGAAAAGAAAGGTTAAACTCTGTGAGTTGAAGGCACACATCACAAAGTAGTTTCTGAGAATGATTCTGTCTAGTTTTTATTTGAAGATATTTCCTTTTCTACTGTTGGCATCAAATCGCTTGAAATCTCCACTTGCAAACTCCACAAAAAGAGTGTTTCAAATCTGCTCTGTGCAAAGGGACGTTCCACTCTGTGAGTTGAATACACACAGCACAAAGAAGTTACTGAGAATTCTTCTGTCTAGCATGAAATGAAGAAATCCCGTTTCCAACGAAGGCCTCAATGCGGTCCATATATCCACTTGCAGACTTTACAAACAGAGTGTTTCCAAACTGCTCTATGAAAAGAAAGGTTAAACTATGTGAGTTGAACGCACACATCACAAAGAATTTTCTGAGAATGATTCTGTCTGGTTTTTATTTGAAGATATTTCCCTTTCTACTGTTGGCATCAAATGGCTAGAAATCTCCACTTGCAAATTCCGCAAAAAGAGTGTTTCAAATCTGCTCTGTCTAAAGGGACGTTCCACTCTGTGAGTTGAATGCACACCACACAAAGAATTTACTGAGAATTCTTCCGCCTAGCATTCAATGAAGAAATCCCGTTTCCAACGAAGGCCTCAAACAGGTCCATATATCCAATTGCAGACTTTACAAACAGTGTGTTTCCAAACTCCTCTATGAAAAGAAAGGTTAAACTCTGTGAGTTGAACGCACACATCACAAAGCACTTTCTGAGAATGATTCTGTCTGGTTGTTATACGAAGATATTTCCTTTTCTGCAATTGTCCTCAAATCGCTTGAAATCTCCACCTGAAAATGCCACAGCAAGAGTGTTTCAAATCTGCTCTCTCTAAAGCAAGGTTCAACTCTGTGAGTTGAATACACACAACACAAAAAAGTTACTGAGAACTCTTCTTAGTCTAGCATGAAAGGAAGAAACCCCGTTTGCAACGAAGGCCTCAAAGAGGTCCAAATATCCACTTGCAGACATAACAAGCAGAGTGTTTCTAAACTGCTCTAAGAAAAGAAAGGTTAAACTCTGTGAGTTGAAGGCACACATCACAAAGTAGTTTCTGAGAATGATTCTGTCTAGTTTTTATTTGAAGATATTTCCTTTTCTACTGTTGGCATCAAATCGCTTGAAATCTCCACTTGCAAATTCCACAAAAAGAGTGTTTCAAATCTGCTCTGTGCAAAGGGACGTTCCACTCTGTGAGTTGAATACACACAGCACAAAGAAGTTACTGAGAATTCTTCTGTCTAGCATGAAATGAAGAAATCCCGTTTCCAACGAAGGCCTCAATGCGGTCCATATATCCACTTGCAGACTTTACAAACAGAGTGTTTCCAAACTGCTCTATGAAAAGAAAGGTTAAACTATGTGAGTTGAACGCACACATCACAAAGAATTTTCTGAGAATGATTCTGTCTGGTTTTTATTTGAAGATATTTCCCTTTCTACTGTTGGCATCAAATGGCTAGAAATCTCCACTTGCAAATTCCGCAAAAAGAGTGTTTCAAATCTGCTCTGTCTAAAGGGACGTTCCACTCTGTGAGTTGAATGCACACAACACAAAGAATTTACTGAGAATTCTTCCGTCTAGCATTCAATGAAGAAATCCCGTTTCCAACGAAGGCCTCAAACAGGTCCATATATCCAATTGCAGACTTTACAAACAGTGTGTTTCCAAACTCCTCTATGAAAAGAAAGGTTAAACTCTGTGAGTTGAACGCACACATCACAAAGCACTTTCTGAGAATGATTCTGTCTGGTTGTTATACGAAGATATTTCCTTTTCTGCAATTGTCCTCAAATCGCTTGAAATCTCCACCTGAAAATGCCACAGCAAGAGTGTTTCAAATCTGCTCTCTCTAAAGCAAGGTTCAGCTCTGTGAGTTGAATACACACAACACAAAAAAGTTACTGAGAACTCTTCTTAGTCTAGCATGAAAGGAAGAAACCCCGTTTGCAACGAAGGCCTCAAAGAGGTCCAAATATCCACTTGCAGACATAACAAGCAGAGTGTTTCTAAACTGCTCTAAGAAAAGAAAGGTTAAACTCTGTGAGTTGAAGGCACACATCACAAAGTAGTTTCTGAGAATGATTCTGTCTAGTTTTTATTTGAAGATATTTCCTTTTCTACTGTTGGCATCAAATCGCTTGAAATCTCCACTTGCAAATTCCACAAAAAGAGTGTTTCAAATCTGCTCTGTGCAAAGGGACGTTCCACTCTGTGAGTTGAATACACACAGCACAAAGAAGTTACTGAGAATTCTTCTGTCTAGCATGAAATGAAGAAATCCCGTTTCCAACGAAGGCCTCAATGCGGTCCATATATCCACTTGCAGACTTTACAAACAGAGTGTTTCCAAACTGCTCTATGAAAAGAAAGGTTAAACTATGTGAGTTGAACGCACACATCACAAAGAATTTTCTGAGAATGATTCTGTCTGGTTTTTATTTGAAGATATTTCCCTTTCTACTGTTGGCATCAAATGGCTAGAAATCTCCACTTGCAAATTCCGCAAAAAGAGTGTTTCAAATCTGCTCTGTCTAAAGGGACGTTCCACTCTGTGAGTTGAATGCACACAACACAAAGAATTTACTGAGAATTCTTCCGTCTAGCATTCAATGAAGAAATCCCGTTTCCAACGAAGGCCTCAAACAGGTCCATATATCCACTTGCAGACTTTACAAACAGTGTGTTTCCAAACTCCTCTATGGAAAGAAAAGTTAAACTCTGTGAGTTGAACGCACACATCACAAAGCACTTTCTGAGAATGATTCTGTCTGGTTGTTATACGAAGATATTTCCTTTTCTGCAATTGTCCTCAAATCGCTTGAAATCTCCACCTGAAAATGCCACAGCAAGAGTGTTTCAAATCTGCTCTCTCTAAAGCAAGGTTCAGCTCTGTGAGTTGAATACACACAACACAAAAAAGTTACTGAGAACTCTTCTTAGTCTAGCATGAAAGGAAGAAACCCCGTTTGCAACGAAGGCCTCAAAGAGGTCCAAATATCCACTTGCAGACATAACAAGCAGAGTGTTTCTAAACTGCTCTATGAAAAGAAAGGTTAAACTCTGTGAGTTGAAGGCACACATCACAAAGTAGTTTCTGAGAATGATTCTGTCTAGTTTTTATTTGAAGATATTTCCTTTTCTACTGTTGGCATCAAATCGCTTGAAATCTCCACTTGCAAACTCCACAAAAAGAGTGTTTCAAATCTGCTCTGTGCAAAGGGACGTTCCACTCTGTGAGTTGAATACACACAGCACAAAGAAGTTACTGAGAATTCTTCTGTCTAGCATGAAATGAAGAAATCCCGTTTCCAACGAAGGCCTCAATGCGGTCCATATATCCACTAGCAGACTTTACAAACAGAGTGTTTCCAAACTGCTCTATGAAAAGAAAGGTTAAACTATGTGAGTTGAACGCACACATCACAAAGAATTTTCTGAGAATGATTCTGTCTGGTTTTTATTTGAAGATATTTCCCTTTCTACTGTTGGCATCAAATGGCTAGAAATCTCCACTTGCAAATTCCGCAAAAAGAGTGTTTCAAATCTGCTCTGTCTAAAGGGACGTTCCACTCTGTGAGTTGAATGCACACAACACAAAGAATTTACTGAGAATTCTTCCGTCTAGCATGCAATGAAGAAATCCCGTTTCCAACGAAGGCCTCAAACAGGTCCATATATCCAATTGCAGACTTTACAAACAGTGTGTTTCCAAACTCCTCTATGAAAAGAAAGGTTAAACTCTGTGAGTTGAACGCACACATCACAAAGCACTTTCTGAGAATGATTCTGTCTGGTTATTATACGAAGATATTTCCTTTTGTGCAATTGTCCTCAAATCGCTTGAAATCTCCACCTGAAAATGCCACAGCAAGAGTGTTTCAAATCTGCTCTCTCTAAAGCAAGGTTCAACTCTGTGAGTTGAATACACACAACACAAAAAAGTTACTGAGAACTCTTCTTAGTCTAGCATTAAAGGAAGAAATCCCGTTTGCAACGAAGGCCTCAAAGAGGTCCAAATATCCAGTTGCAGACTTAAGAAGCAGAGTGTTTCTAAACTGCTCTAAGAAAAGAAAGGTTAAACTCTGTGAGTTGAAGGCACACATCACAAAGTAGTTTCTGAGAATGATTCTGTCTAGTTTTTATTTGAAGATATTTCCTTTTCTACTGTTGGCATCAAATCGCTTGAAATCTCCACTTGCAAACTCCACACAAAGTGTGTTTCAAATCTGCTCTGTGTAAAGGGACGTTCCACTCTGTGAGTTGAATACACACAGCACAAAGAAGTTACTGAGAATTCTTCTGTCTAGCATGAAATGAAGAAATCCCGTTTACAACGAAGGCCTCAATGCGGTCCATATATCCAGTTGCAGACTTTACAAACAGAATGTTTCCAAACTGCTCTATGAAAAGAAAGGTTAAACTATGTGAGTTGAACGCACACATCACAAAGAATTTTCTGAGAATGATTCTGTCTGGTTTTTATTTGAAGATATTTCCCTTTCTACTGTTGGCATCAAATGGCTAGAAATCTCCACTTGCAAATTCCGCAAAAAGAGTGTTTCAAATCTGCTCTGTCTAAAGGGACGTTCCACTCTGTGAGTTGAATGCACACAACACAAAGAATTTACTGAGAATTCTTCCGTCTAGCATTCAATGAAGAAATCCCGTTTCCAACGAAGGCCTCAAACAGGTCCATATATCCACTTGCAGACTTTACAAACAGTGTGTTTCCAAACTCCTCTATGAAAAGAAAGGTTAAACTCTTGTGAGTTGAACGCACACATCACAAAGCACTTCCTGAGAATGATTCTGTCTGGTTATTATACGAAGATATTTCCTTTTGTGCAATTGTCCTCAAATCGCTTGAAATCTCCACCTGAAAATGCCACAGCAAGAGTGTTTCAAATCTGCTCTCTCTAAAGCAAGGTTTAACTCTGTGAGTTGAATACACACAACAACAAAAAAGTTACTGAGAACTCTTCTTAGTCTAGCATTAAAGGAAGAAATCCCGTTTGCAACCGAAGGCCTCAAAGAGGTCCAAATATCCACTTGCAGACATAACAAGCAGAGTGTTTCTAAACTGCTCTAAGAAAAGAAAGGTTAAACTCTGCGAGTTGAAGGCACACATCACAAAGTAGTTTCTGAAAATGATTCTGTCTAGTTTTTATTTGAAGATATTTCCTTTTCTACTGTTGGCATCATATCGCTTGAAATCTCCACTTGCAAATTCCACAAAAAGAGTGTTTCAAATCTGCTCTGTGTAAAGGGACGTTGCACTCTGTGAGTTGAATACACACAGCACAAAGAAGTTACTGAGAATTCTTCTGTCTAGCATGAAATGAAGAAATCCCGTTTCCAACGAAGGCCTCAATGCGGTCCATATATCCACTTGCAGACTTTACAAACAGAGTGTTTCCAAACTGCTCTATGAAAAGAAAGGTTAAACTATGTGAGTTGAACGCACACATCACAAAGAATTTTCTGAGAATGATTCTGTCTGGTTTTTATTTGAAGATATTTCCCTTTCTACTGTTGGCATCAAATGGCTAGATATCTCCACTTGCAAATTCCGCAAAAAGAGTGTTTCAAATCTGCTCTGTCTAAAGGGACGTTCCACTCTGTGAGTTGAATGCACACAACACAAAGAATTTACTGAGAATCCTTCCGTCTAGCATGCAATGAAGAAATCCCGTTTCCAACGAAGGCCTCAAACAGGTCCATATATCCAATTGCAGACTTTACAAACAGTGTGTTTCCAAACTCCTCTATGAAAAGAAAGGTTAAACTCTGTGAGTTGAACGCACACATCACAAAGCACTTTCTGAGAATGATTCTGTCTGGTTATTATACGAAGATATTTCCTTTTCTGCAATTGTCCTCAAATCGCTTGAAATCTCCACCTGAAAATGCCACAGCAAGAGTGTTTCAAATCTGCTCTCTCTAAAGCAAGGTTCAACTCTGTGAGTTGAATACACACAACACAAAAAAGTTACTGAGAACTCTTCTTAGTCTAGCATGAAAGGAAGAAACCCCGTTTGCAACGAAGGCCTCAAAGAGGTCCAAATATCCACTTGCAGACATAACAAGCAGAGTGTTTCTAAACTGCTCTAAGAAAAGAAAGGTTAAACTCTGTGAGTTGAAGGCACACATCACAAAGTAGTTTCTGAGAATGATTCTGTCTAGTTTTTATTTGAAGATATTTCCTTTTCTACTGTTGGCATCAAATCGCTTGAAATCTCCACTTGCAAACTCCACAAAAAGAGTGTTTCAAATCTGCTCTGTGCAAAGGGACGTTCCACTCTGTGAGTTGAATACACACAGCACAAAGAAGTTACTGAGAATTCTTCTGTCTAGCATGAAATGAAGAAATCCCGTTTCCAACGAAGGCCTCAATGCGGTCCATATATCCACTTGCAGACTTTACAAACAGAGTGTTTCCAAACTGCTCTATGAAAAGAAAGGTTAAACTATGTGAGTTGAACGCACACATCACAAAGAATTTTCTGAGAATGATTCTGTCTGGTTTTTATTTGAAGATATTTCCCTTTCTACTGTTGGCATCAAATGGCTAGAAATCTCCACTTGCAAATTCCGCAAAAAGAGTGTTTCAAATCTGCTCTGTCTAAAGGGACGTTCCACTCTGTGAGTTGAATGCACACAACACAAAGAATTTACTGAGAATTCTTCCGTCTAGCATTCAATGAAGAAATCCCGTTTCCAACGAAGGCCTCAAACAGGTCCATATATCCAATTGCAGACTTTACAAACAGTGTGTTTCCAAACTCCTCTATGAAAAGAAAGGTTAAACTCTGTGAGTTGAACGCACACATCACAAAACACTTTCTGAGAATGATTCTCTCTGGTTATTATACGAAGATATTTCCTTTTCTGCAATTGTCCTCAAATCGCTTGAAATCTCCACCTGAAAATGCCACAGCAAGAGTGTTTCAAATCTGCTCTCTCTAAAGCAAGGTTCAACTCTGTGAGTTGAATACACACAACACAAAAAAGTTACTGAGAACTCTTCTTAGTCTAGCATGAAAGGAAGAAACCCCGTTTGCAACGAAGGCCTCAAAGAGGTCCAAATATCCACTTGCAGACATAACAAGCAGAGTGTTTCTAAACTGCTCTAAGAAAAGAAAGGTTAAACTCTGTGAGTTGAAGGCACACATCACAAAGTAGTTTCTGAGAATGATTCTGTCTAGTTTTTATTTGAAGATATTTCCTTTTCTACTGTTGGCATCAAATCGCTTGAAATCTCCACTTGCAAACTCCACAAAAAGAGTGTTTCAAATCTGCTCTGTGTAAAGGGACGTTCCACTCTGTGAGTTGAATACACACAGCACAAAGAAGTTACTGAGAATTCTTCTGTCTAGCATGAAATGAAGAAATCCCGTTTCCAACGAAGGCCTCAATGCGGTCCATATATCCACTTGCAGACTTTACAAACAGAGTGTTTCCAAACTGCTCTATGAAAAGAAAGGTTAAACTATGTGAGTTGAACGCACACATCACAAAGAATTTTCTGAGAATGATTCTGTCTGGTTTTTATTTGAAGATATTTCCCTTTCTACTGTTGGCATCAAATGGCTAGAAATCTCCACTTGCAAATTCCGCAAAAAGAGTGTTTCAAATCTGCTCTGTCTAAAGGGACGTTCCACTCTGTGAGTTGAATGCACACAACACAAAGAATTTACTGAGAATTCTTCCGTCTAGCATTCAATGAAGAAATCCCGTTTCCAACGAAGGCCTCAAACAGGTCCATATATCCAATTGCAGACTTTACAAACAGTGTGTTTCCAAACTCCTCTATGGAAAGAAAGGTTAAACTCTGTGAGTTGAACGCACACATCACAAAGCACTTTCTGAGAATGATTCTGTCTGGTTATTATACGAAGATATTTCCTTTTCTGCAATTGTCCTCAAATCGCTTGAAATCTCCACCTGAAAATGCCACAGCAAGAGTGTTTCAAATCTGCTCTCTCTAAAGCAAGGTTCAACTCTGTGAGTTGAATACACACAACACAAAAAAGTTACTGAGAACTCTTCTTAGTCTAGCATGAAAGGAAGAAACCCCGTTTGCAACGAAGGCCTCAAAGAGGTCCAAATATCCACTTGCAGACATAACAAGCAGAGTGTTTCTAAACTGCTCTAAGAAAAGAAAGGTTAAACTCTGTGAGTTGAAGGCACACATCACAAAGTAGTTTCTGAGAATGATTCTGTCTAGTTTTTATTTGAAGATATTTCCTTTTCTACTGTTGGCATCAAATCGCTTGAAATCTCCACTTGCAAATTCCACAAAAAGAGTGTTTCAAATCTTCTCTGTGTAAAGGAACGTTCCACTCTGTGAGTTGAATACACACAGCACAAAGAAGTTACTGAGAATTCTTCTGTCTAGCATGAAATGAAGAAATCCCGTTTCCAACGAAGGCCTCAATGCGGTCCATATATCCACTTGCAGACTTTACAAACAGAGTGTTTCCAAACTGCTCTATGAAAAGAAAGGTTAAACTATGTGAGTTGAACGCACACATCACAAAGAATTTTCTGAGAATGATTCTGTCTGGTTTTTATTTGAAGATATTTCCCTTTCTACTGTTGGCATCAAATGGCTAGAAATCTCCACTTGCAAATTCCGCAAAAAGAGTGTTTCAAATCTGCTCTGTCTAAAGGGACGTTCCACTCTGTGAGTTGAATGCACACCACACAAAGAATTTACTGAGAATTCTTCCGTCTAGCATTCAATGAAGAAATCCCGTTTCCAACGAAGGCCTCAAACAGGTCCATATATCCAATTGCAGACTTTACAAACAGTGTGTTTCCAAACTCCTCTATGAAAAGAAAGGTTAAACTCTGTGAGTTGAACGCACACAACACAAAGCACTTTCTGAGAATGATTCTGTCTGGTTATTATACGAAGATATTTCCTTTTCTGCAATTGTCCTCAAATCGCTTGAAATCTCCACCTGAAAATGCCACAGCAAGAGTGTTTCAAATCTGCTCTCTCTAAAGCAAGGTTCAACTCTGTGAGTTGAATACACACAACACAAAAAAGTTACTGAGAACTCTTCTTAGTCTAGCATGAAAGGAAGAAACCCCGTTTGCAACGAAGGCCTCAAAGAGGTCCAAATATCCACTTGCAGACATAACAAGCAGAGTGTTTCTAAACTGCTCTAAGAAAAGAAAGGTTAAACTCTGTGAGTTGAAGGCAGACATCACAAAGTAGTTTCTGAGAATGATTCTGTCTAGTTTTTATTTGAAGATATTTCCTTTTCTACTGTTGGCATCAAATCGCTTGAAATCTCCACTTGCAAACTCCACAAAAAGAGTGTTTCAAATCTGCTCTGTTCAAAGGGACGTTCCACTCTGTGAGTTGAGTACACACAGCACAAAGAAGTTACTGAGAATTCTTCTGTCTAGCATGAAATGAAGAAATCCCGTTTCCAACGAAGGCCTCAATGCGGTCCATATATCCACTTGCAGACTTTACAAACAGAGTGTTTCCAAACTGCTCTATGAAAAGAAAGGTTAAACTATGTGAGTTGAACGCACACATCACAAAGAATTTTCTGAGAATGATTCTGTCTGGTTTTTATTTGAAGATATTTCCCTTTCTACTGTTGGCATCAAATGGCTAGAAATCTCCACTTGCAAATTCCGCAAAAAGAGTGTTTCAAATCTGCTCTGTCTAAAGGGACGTTCCACTCTGTGAGTTGAATGCACACAACACAAAGAATTTACTGAGAATTCTTCCGTCTAGCATTCAATGAAGAAATCCCGTTTCCAACGAAGGCCTCAAACAGGTCCATATATCCACTTGCAGACTTTACAAACAGTGTGTTTCCAAACTCCTCTATGAAAAGAAAGGTTAAACTCTGTGAGTTGAACGCACACATCACAAAGCACTTTCTGAGAATGATTCTGTCTGGTTGTTATACGAAGATATTTCCTTTTCTGCAATTGTCCTCAAATCGCTTGAAATCTCCACCTGAAAATGCCACAGCAAGAGTGTTTCAAATCTGCTCTCTCTAAAGCAAGGTTCAACTCTGTGAGTTGAATACACACAACACAAAAAAGTTACTGAGAACTCTTCTTAGTCTAGCATTAAAGGAAGAAACCCCGTTTGCAACGAAGGCCTCAAAGAGGTCCAAATATCCACTTGCAGACATAACAAGCAGAGTGTTTCTAAACTGCTCTAAGAAAAGAAAGGTTAAACTCTGTGAGTTGAAGGCACACATCACAAAGTAGTTTCTGAGAATGATTCTGTCTAGTTTTTATTTGAAGATATTTCCTTTTCAACTTTTGGCATCAAATCGCTTGAATTCTCCACTTTTAAATTCCACAAAAAGAGTGTTTCAAAACTGCTCTGTGTAATGGGACATTCCAATCTGTCAGTTGAATACACACAACACAAAGAAGTTACTGAGAATTCTTCTGTCTAGCATGAAATTAAGAAATCCCGTTTCCAACGAAGTCCTCAATGCGGTCCATATATCCACTTGCAGACATTACCAACAGAGTGTTTCCAAACTGGTCTATGAAAAGAAAGGTTAAATTATGTGAGTTGAACGCACACATCACAAAGAATTTTCTGAGGATGATTCTGTCTGGTTTTTATTTGAAGATATTTCCCTTTCTACTGTTGGCATCAAATGGCTAGAAATCTCCACTTGCAAATTCCGCAAAAAGAGTGTTTCAAATCTGCTCTGTCTAAAGGGACGTTCCACTCTGTGAGTTGAATGCACACAACACAAAGAATTTACTGAGAATTCTTCCGTCTAGCATTCAATGAAGAAATCCCGTTTCCAACGAAGGCCTCAAACAGGTCCATATATCCAATTGCAGACTTTACAAACAGTGTGTTTCCAAACTCCTCTATGAAAAGAAAGGTTAAACTCTGTGAGTTGAACGCACACATCACAAAGCACTTTCTGAGAATGATTCTGTCTGGTTATTATACGAAGATACTTCCTTTTCTGCAGTTGTCCTCAAATCGCTTGAAATCTCCACCTGAAAATGCCACAGCAAGAGTGTTTCAAATCTGCTCTCTCTAAAGCAAGGTTCAACTCTGTGAGTTGAATACACACAACACAAAAAAGTTACTGAGAACTCTTCTTAGTCTAGCATGAAAGGAAGAAACCCCGTTTGCAACGAAGGCCTCAAAGAGGTCCAAATATCCACTTGCAGACATAACAAGCAGAGTGTTTCTAAACTGCTCTAAGAAAAGAAAGGTTAAACTCTGTGAGTTGAAGGCACACATCACAAAGTAGTTTCTGAGAATGATTCTGTCTAGTTTTTATTTGAAGATATTTCCTTTTCTACTGTTGGCATCAAATCGCTTGAAATCTCCACTTGCAAACTCCACAAAAAGAGTGTTTCAAATCTGCTCTGTGCAAAGGGACGTTCCACTCTGTGAGTTGAATACACACAGCACAAAGAAGTTACTGAGAATTCTTCTGTCTAGCATGAAATGAAGAAATCCCGTTTCCAACGAAGGCCTCAATGCGGTCCATATATCCACTTGCAGACTTTACAAACAGAGTGTTTCCAAACTGCTCTATGAAAAGAAAGGTTAAACTATGTGAGTTGAACGCACACATCACAAAGAATTTTCTGAGAATGATTCTGTCTGGTTTTTATTTGAAGATATTTCCCTTTCTACTGTTGGCATCAAATGGCTAGAAATCTCCACTTGCAAATTCCGCAAAAAGAGTGTTTCAAATCTGCTCTGTCTAAAGGGACGTTCCACTCTGTGAGTTGAATGCACACAACACAAAGAATTTACTGAGAATTCTTCCGTCTAGCATTCAATGAAGAAATCCCGTTTCCAACGAAGGCCTCAAACAGGTCCATATATCCACTTGCAGACTTTACAAACAGTGTGTTTCCAAACTCCTCTATGGAAAGAAAGGTTAAACTCTGTGAGTTGAACGCACACATCACAAAGCACTTTCTGAGAATGATTCTGTCTGGTTATTATACGAAGATATTTCCTTTTCTGCAATTGTCCTCAAATCGCTTGAAATCTCCACCTGAAAATGCCACAGCAAGAGTGTTTCAAATCTGCTCTCTCTAAAGCAAGGTTCAACTCTGTGAGTTGAATACACACAACACAAAAAAGTTACTGAGAACTCTTCTTAGTCTAGCATGAACGGAAGAAACCCCGTTTGCAACGAAGGCCTCAAAGAGGTCCAAATATCCACTTGCAGACATAACAAGCAGAGTGTTTCTAAACTGCTCTAAGAAAAGAAAGGTTAAACTCTGTGAGTTGAAGGCACACATCACAAAGTAGTTTCTGAGAATGATTCTGTCTAGTTTGTATTTGAAGATATTTCCTTTTCTACTGTTGGCATCAAATCGCTTGAAATCTCCACTTGCAAACTCCACAAAAAGAGTGTTTCAAATCTGCTCTGTGCAAAGGGACGTTCCACTCTGTGAGTTGAATACACACAGCACAAAGAAGTTACTGAGAATTCTTCTGTCTAGCATGAAATGAAGAAATCCCGTTTCCAACGAAGGCCTCAATGCGGTCCATATATCCACTTGCAGACTTTACAAACAGAGTGTTTCCAAACTGCTCTATGAAAAGAAAGGTTAAACTATGTGAGTTGAACGCACACATCACAAAGAATTTTCTGAGAATGATTCTGTCTGGTTTTTATTTGAAGATATTTCCCTTTCTACTGTTGGCATCAAATGGCTAGAAATCTCCACTTGCAAATTCCGCAAAAAGAGTGTTTCAAATCTGCTCTGTCTAAAGGGACGTTCCACTCTGTGAGTTGAATGCACACAACACAAAGAATTTACTGAGAATTCTTCCGTCTAGCATTCAATGAAGAAATCCCGTTTCCAACGAAGGCCTCAAACAGGTCCATATATCCACTTGCAGACTTTACAAACAGTGTGTTTCCAAACTCCTCTATGAAAAGAAAGGTTAAACTCTGTGAGTTGAACGCACACATCACAAAGCACTTTCTGAGAATGATTCTGTCTGGTTATTATACGAAGATATTTCCTTTTCTGCAATTGTCCTCAAATCGCTTGAAATCTCCACCTGAAAATGCCACAGCAAGAGTGTTTCAAATCTGCTCTCTCTAAAGCAAGGTTCAACTCTGTGAGTTGAATACACACAACACAAAAAAGTTACTGAGAACTCTTCTTAGTCTAGCATGAAAGGAAGAAACCCCGTTTGCAACGAAGGCCTCAAAGAGGTCCAAATATCCACTTGCAGACATAACAAGCAGAGTGTTTCTAAACTGCTCTAAGAAAAGAAAGGTTAAACTCTGTGAGTTGAAGGCACACATCACAAAGTAGTTTCTGAGAATGATTCTGTCTAGTTTTTATTTGAAGATATTTCCTTTTCTACTGTTGGCATCAAATCGCTTGAAATCTCCACTTGCAAACTCCACAAAAAGAGTGTTTCAAATCTGCTCTGTGCAAAGGGACGTTCCACTCTGTGAGTTGAATACACACAGCACAAAGAAGTTACTGAGAATTCTTCTGTCTAGCATGAAATGAAGAAATCCCGTTTCCAACGAAGGCCTCAATGCGGTCCATATATCCACTTGCAGACTTTACAAACAGAGTGTTTCCAAACTGCTCTATGAAAAGAAAGGTTAAACTATGTGAGTTGAACGCACACATCACAAAGAATTTTCTGAGAATGATTCTGTCTGGTTTTTATTTGAAGATATTTCCCTTTCTACTGTTGGCATCAAATGGCTAGAAATCTCCACTTGCAAATTCCGCAAAAAGAGTGTTTCAAATCTGCTCTGTCTAAAGGGACGTTCCACTCTGTCAGTTGAATGCACACAACACAAAGAATTTACTGAGAATTCTTCCGTCTAGCATTCAATGAAGAAATCCCGTTTCCAAAGAAGGCCTCAAACAGGTCCATATATCCAATTGCAGACTTTACAAACAGTGTGTTTCCAAACTCCTCTATGAAAAGAAAGGTTAAACTCTGTGAGTTGAACGCACACATCACAAAGCACTTTCTGAGAATGATTCTGTCTGGTTATTATACGAAGATATTTCCTTTTCTGCAATTGTCCTCAAATCGCTTGAAATCTCCACCTGAAAATGCCACAGCAAGAGTGTTTCAAATCTGCTCTCTCTAAAGCAAGGTTCAACTCTGTGAGTTGAATACACACAACACAAAAAAGTTACTGAGAACTCTTCTTAGTCTAGCATGAAAGGAAGAAACCCCGTTTGCAACGAAGGCCTCAAAGAGGTCCAAATATCCACTTGCAGACATAACAAGCAGAGTGTTTCTAAACTGCTCTAAGAAAAGAAAGGTTAAACTCTGTGAGTTGAAGGCACACATCACAAAGTAGTTTCTGAGAATGATTCTGTCTAGTTTTTATTTGAAGATATTTCCTTTTCTACTGTTGGCATCAAATCGCTTGAAATCTCCACTTGCAAACTCCACAAAAAGAGTGTTTCAAATCTGCTCTGTGCAAAGGGACGTTCCACTCTGTGAGTTGAATACACACAGCACAAAGAAGTTACTGAGAATTCTTCTGTCTAGCATGAAATGAAGAAATCCCGTTTCCAACGAAGGCCTCAATGCGGTCCATATATCCACTTGCAGACTTTACAAACAGAGTGTTTCCAAACTGCTCTATGAAAAGAAAGGTTAAACTATGTGAGTTGAACGCACACATCACAAAGAATTTTCTGAGAATGATTCTGTCTGGTTTTTATTTGAAGATATTTCCCTTTCTACTGTTGGCATCAAATGGCTAGAAATCTCCACTTGCAAATTCCGCAAAAAGAGTGTTTCAAATCTGCTCTGTCTAAAGGGACGTTCCACTCTGTGAGTTGAATGCACACAACACAAAGAATTTACTGAGAATTCTTCCGTCTAGCATTCAATGAAGAAATCCCGTTTCCAACGAAGGCCTCAAAGAGGTCCATATATCCACTTGCAGACTTTACAAACAGTGTGTTTCCAAACTCCTCTATGAAAAGAAAGGTTAAACTCTGTGAGTGGAACGCACACATCACAAAGCACTTTCTGAGAATGATTCTGTCTGGTTATTATACGAAGATATTTCCTTTTCTGCAATTGTCCTCAAATCGCTTGAAATCTCCACCTGAAAATGCCACAGCAAGAGTGTTTCAAATCTGCTCTCTCTAAAGCAAGGTTCAACTCTGTGAGTTGAATACACACAACACAAAAAAGTTACTGAGAACTCTTCTTAGTCTAGCATGAAAGGAAGAAACCCCGTTTGCAACGAAGGCCTCAAAGAGGTCCAAATATCCACTTGCAGACATAACAAGCAGAGTGTTTCTAAACTGCTCTAAGAAAAGAAAGGTTAAACTCTGTGAGTTGAAGGCACACATCACAAAGTAGTTTCTGAGAATGATTCTGTCTAGTTTTTATTTGAAGATATTTCCTTTTCTACTGTTGGCATCAAATCGCTTGAAATCTCCACTTGCAAACTCCACAAAAAGAGTGTTTCAAATCTGCTCTGTGCAAAGGGACGTTCCACTCTGTGAGTTGAATACACACAGCACAAAGAAGTTACTGAGAATTCTTCTGTCTAGCATGAAATGAAGAAATCCCGTTTCCAACGAAGGCCTCAATGCAGTCCATATATCCACTTGCAGACTTTACAAACAGAGTGTTTCCAAACTGCTCTATGAAAAGAAAGGTTAAACTATGTGAGTTGAACGCACACATCACAAAGAATTTTCTGAGAATGATTCTGTCTGGTTTTTATTTGAAGATATTTCCATTTCTACTGTTGACATCAAATGGCTAGAAATCTCCACTTGCAAATTCCGCAAAAAGAGTGTTTCAAATCTGCTCTGTCTAAAGGGACGTTCCACTCTGTGAGTTCAATGCACACAACACAAAGAATTTACTGAGAATTCTTCCGTCTAGCATTCAATGAAGAAATCCCGTTTCCAACGAAGGCCTCAAACAGGTCCATGTATCCACTTGCAGACTTTACAAACAGTGTGTTTCCAAGCTCCTCTATGAAAAGAAAGGTTAAACTCTGTGAGTTGAACGCACACATCACAAAGCACTTTCTGAGAATGATTCTGTCTGGTTATTATACGAAGATATTTCCTTTTCTGCAATTGTCCTCAAAACGCTTGAAATCTCCACCTGAAAATGCCACAGCAAGAGTGTTTCAAATCTGCTCTCTCTAAAGCAAGGTTCAACTCTGTGAGTTGAATACACACAACACAAAAAAGTTACTGAGAACTCTTCTTAGTCTAGCATTAAATGAAGAAATCCCGTTTGCAACGAAGGCCTCAAAGAGGTCCAAATATCCACTTGCAGACATTGCAAGCAGAGTGTTTCTAAACTGCTCTAAGAAAAGAAATGTTAAACTCTGTGAGTTGATGGCACACATCACAAAGTAGTTTCTGAGAATAATTCTGTCTAGTTTTTATTTAAAGATATTTCCTTTTCTACTGTTGGCATCAAATCGCTTGAAATTTCCACTTGCAAATTCTACAAAAAGAGTGTTTCAAATCTGCTCTGTCTAAAGGGACGTTCCATTCTGTGAGTTGAATACACACAACACAAAGAAATTATTGAGAATTCTTCTGTCTAGCATGAAATGAAGAAATCCCGTTTCCAACGAAGGCCTCAATGCGGTCCATATATCCACTTGCAGACTTTACAAACAGAGTGTTTCCAAACTGCTCTATGAAAAGAAAGGTTAAACTATGTGAATTGAACGCACACATCACAAAGAATTTTCTGAGAATGATTCTGTCTGGTTTTTATTTGAAGATATTTCCCTTTCTACTGTTGGCATCAAATGGCTAGAAATCTCCACTTGCAAATTCCGCAAAAAGAGTGTTTCAAATCTGCTCTGTCTAAAGGGACGTTCCACTCTGTGAGTTGAATGCACACAACACAAAGAATTTACTGAGAATTCTTCCGTCTAGCATTCAATGAAGAAATCCCGTTTCCAACGAAGGCCTCAAAGAGGTCCATATATCCACTTGCAGACTTTACAAACAGTGTGTTTCCAAACTCCTCTATGAAAAGAAAGGTTAAACTCTGTGAGTGGAACGCACACATCACAAAGCACTTTCTGAGAATGATTCTGTCTGGTTGTTATACGAAGATATTTCCTTTTCTGCAATTGTCCTCAAATCGCTTGAAATCTCCACCTGAAAATGCCACAGCAAGAGTGTTTCAAATCTGCTCTCTCTAAAGCAAGGTTCAACTCTGTGAGTTGAATACACACAACACAAAAAAGTTACTGAGAACTCTTCTTAGTCTAGCATGAAAGGAAGAAACCCCGTTTGCAACAAAGGCCTCAAAGAGGTCCAAATATCCACTTGCAGACATAACAAGCAGAGTGTTTCTAAACTGCTCTAAGAAAAGAAAGGTTAAACTCTGTGAGTTGAAGGCACACATCACAAAGTAGTTTCTGAGAATGATTCTGTCTAGTTTTTATTTGAAGATATTTCCTTTTCTACTGTTGGCATCAAATCGCTTGAAATCTCCACTTGCAAACTCCACAAAAAGAGTGTTTCAAATCTGCTCTGTGTAAAGGGACGTTCCACTCTGTGAGTTGAATACACACAGCACAAAGAAGTTACTGAGAATTCTTCTGTCTAGCATGAAATGAAGAAATCCCGTTTCCAACGAAGGCCTCAATGCGGTCCATATATCCACTTGCAGACTTTACAAACAGAGTGTTTCCAAACTGCTCTATGAAAAGAAAGGTTAAACTATGTGAGTTGAACGCACACATCACAAAGAATTTTCTGAGAATGATTCTGTCTGGTTTTTATTTGAAGATATTTCCCTTTCTACTGTTGGCATCAAATGGCTAGAAATCTCCACTTGCAAATTCCGCAAAAAGAGTGTTTCAAATCTGCTCTGTCTAAAGGGACGTTCCACTCTGTGAGTTGAATGCACACAACACAAAGAATTTACTGAGAATTCTTCCGTCTAGCATTCAATGAAGAAATCCCGTTTCCAACGAAGGCCTCAAAGAGGTCCATATATCCACTTGCAGAGTTTACAAACAGTGTGTTTCCAAACTCCTCTATGAAAAGAAAGGTTAAACTCTGTGAGTGGAACGCACACATCACAAAGCACTTTCTGAGAATGATTATCTGTCTGGTTGTTATACGAAGATATTTCCTTTTCTGCAATTGTCCTCAAATCGCTTGAAATCTCCACCTGAAAATGCCACAGCAAGAGTGTTTCAAATCTGCTCTCTCTAAAGCAAGGTTCAGCTCTGTGAGTTGAATACACACAACACAAAAAAGTTACTGAGAACTCTTCTTAGTCTAGCATGAAAGGAAGAAACCCCGTTTGCAACGAAGGCCTCAAAGAGGTCCAAATATCCACTTGCAGACATAACAAGCAGAGTGTTTCTAAACTGCTCTAAGAAAAGAAAGGTTAAACTCTGTGAGTTGAAGGCACACATCACAAAGTAGTTTCTGAGAATGATTCTGTCTAGTTTATATTGGAAGATATTTCCTTTTCTACTGTTGGCATCAAATCGCTTGAAATCTCCACTTGCAAACTCCACAAAAAGAGTGTTTCAAATCTGCTCTGTGTAAAGGGACGTTCCACTCTGTGAGTTGAATACACACAGCACACAGAAGTTACTGAGAATTCTTCTGTCTAGCATGAAATGAAGAAATCCCGTTTCCAACGAAGGCCTCAATGCGGTCCATAGATCCACTTGCAGACTTTACAAACAGAGTGTTTCCAAACTGCTCTATGAAAAGAAAGGTTAAACTATGTGAGTTGAACGCACACATCACAAAGAATTTTCTGAGAATGATTCTGTCTGGTTTTTATTTGAAGATATTTCCCTTTCTACTGTTGGCATCAAATGGCTAGAAATCTCCACTTGCAAATTCCGCAAAAAGAGTGTTTCAAATCTGCTCTGTCTTAAGGGACGTTCCACTCTGTGAGTTGAATGCACACAACACAAAGAATTTACTGAGAATTCTTCCGTCTAGCATTCAATGAAGAAATCCCGTTTCCAACGAAGGCCTCAAACAGGTCCATATATCCAATTGCAGACTTTACAAACAGTGTGTTTCCAAACTCCTCTATGAAAAGAAAGGTTAAACTCTGTGAGTTGAACGCACACATCACAAAGCACTTTCGGAGAATGATTCTGTCTGGTTGTTATACGAAGATATTTCCTTTTCTGCAATTGTCCTCAAATCGCTTGAAATCTCCACCTGAAAATGCCACAGCAAGAGTGTTTCAAATCTGCTCTCTCTAAAGCAGGGTTCAACTCTGTGAGTTGAATACACACAACACAAAAATGTTACTGAGAACTCTTCTTAGTCTAGCATGAAAGGAAGAAACCCCGTTTGCAACGAAGGCCTCAAAGAGGTCCAAATATCCACTTGCAGACATAACAAGCAGAGTGTTTCTAAACTGCTCTAAGAAAAGAAAGGTTAAACTATGTGAGTTGAACGCACACATCACAAAGAATTTTCTGAGAATGATTCTGTCTGGTTTTTATTTGAAGATATTTCCCTTTCTACTGTTGGCATCAAATGGCTAGAAATCTCCACTTGCAAATTCCGCAAAAAGAGTGTTTCAAATCTGCTCTGTGTAAAGGGACGTTCCACTCTGTGAGTTGAATGCACACAACACAAAGAATTTACTGAGAATTCTTCCGTCTAGCATGCAATGAAGAAATCCCGTTTCCAACGAAGGCCTCAAACAGGTCCATATATCCAATTGCAGACTTTACAAACAGTGTGTTTCCAAACTCCTCTATGAAAAGAAAGGTTAAACTCTGTGAGTTGAACGCACACATCACAAAGCACTTTCTGAGAATGATTCTGTCTGGTTATTATACGAAGATATTTCCTTTTCTGCAATTGTCCTCAAAACGCTTGAAATCTCCACCTGAAAATGCCACAGCAAGAGTGTTTCAAATCTGCTCTCTCTAAAGCAAGGTTCAACTCTGTGAGTTGAATACACACAACACAAAAAAGTTACTGAGAACTCTTCTTAGTCTAGCATGAAAGGAAGAAACCCCGTTTGCAACGAAGGCCTCAAAGAGGTCCAAATATCCACTTGCAGACATAACAAGCAGAGTGTTTCTAAACTGCTCTAAGAAAAGAAAGGTTAAACTCTGTGAGTTGAAGGCACACATCACAAAGTAGTTTCTGAGAATGATTCTGTCTAGTTTTTATTTGAAGATATTTCCTTTTCTACTGTTGGCATCAAATCGCTTGAAATCTCCACTTGCAAACTCCACAAAAAGAGTGTTTCAAATCTGCTCTGTGCAAAGGGACGTTCCACTCTGTGAGTTGAATACACACAGCACAAAGAAGTTACTGAGAATTCTTCTGTCTAGCATGAAATGAAGAAATCCCGTTTCCAACGAAGGCCTCAATGCGGTCCATATATCCACTTGCAGACTTTACAAACAGAGTGTTTCCAAACTGCTCTATGAAAAGAAAGGTTAAACTATGTGAGTTGAACGCACACATCACAAAGAATTTTCTGAGAATGATTCTGTCTGGTTTTTATTTGAAGATATTTCCCTTTCTACTGTTGGCATCAAATGGCTAGAAATCTCCACTTGCAAATTCCGCAAAAAGAGTGTTTCAAATCTGCTCTGTCTAAAGGGACGTTCCACTCTGTGAGTTGAATGCACACAACACAAAGAATTTACTGAGAATTCTTCCGTCTAGCATTCAATGAAGAAATCCCGTTTCCAACGAAGGCCTCAAACAGGTCCATATATCCACTTGCAGACTTTACAAACAGTGTGTTTCCAAACTCCTCTATGAAAAGAAAGGTTAAACTCTGTGAGTGGAACGCACACATCACAAAGCACTTTCTGAGAATGATTCTGTCTGGTTATTATACGAAGATATTTCCTTTTCTGCAATTGTCCTCAAATCGCTTGAAATCTCCACCTGAAAATGCCACAGCAAGAGTGTTTCAAATCTGCTCTCTCTAAAGCAAGGTTCAACTCTGTGAGTTGAATACACACAACACAAAAAAGTTACTGAGAACTCTTCTTAGTCTAGCATGAACGGAAGAAACCCCGTTTGCAACGAAGGCCTCAAAGAGGTCCAAATATCCACTTGCAGACATAACAAGCAGAGTGTTTCTAAACTGCTCTAAGAAAAGAAAGGTTAAACTCTGTGAGTTGAAGGCACACATCACAAAGTAGTTTCTGAGAATGATTATCTGTCTAGTTTTTATTTGAAGATATTTCCTTTTCTACTGTTGGCATCAAATCGCTTGAAATCTCCACTTGCAAACTCCACAAAAAGAGTGTTTCAAATCTGCTCTGTGTAAAGGGACGTTCCACTCTGTGAGTTGAATACACACAGCACAAAGAAGTTACTGAGAATTCTTCTGTCTAGCATGAAATGAAGAAATCCCGTTTCCAACGAAGGCCTCAATGCGGTCCATATATCCACTTGCAGACTTTACAAACAGAGTGTTTCCAAACTGCTCTATGAAAAGAAAGGTTAAACTATGTGAGTTGAACGCACACATCACAAAGAATTTTCTGAGAATGATTCTGTCTGGTTTTTATTTGAAGATATTTCCCTTTCTACTGTTGGCATCAAATGGCTAGAAATCTCCACTTGCAAATTCCGCAAAAAGAGTGTTTCAAATCTGCTCTGTCTAAAGGGACGTTCCACTCTGTGAGTTGAATGCACACAACACAAAGAATTTACTGAGAATTCTTCCGTCTAGCATTCAATGAAGAAATCCCGTTTCCAACGGAGGCCTCAAACAGGTCCATATATCCAATTGCAGACTTTACAAACAGTGTGTTTCCAAACTCCTCTATGAAAAGAAAGGTTAAACTCTGTGAGTTGAACGCACACATCACAAAGCACTTTCTGAGAATGATTCTGTCTGGTTATTATACGAAGATATTTCCTTTTCTGCAATTGTCCTCAAATCGCTTGAAATCTCCACCTGAAAATGCCACAGCAAGAGTGTTTCAAATCTGCTCTCTCTAAAGCAAGGTTCAACTCTGTGAGTTGAATACACACAACACAAAAAAGTTACTGAGAACTCTTCTTAGTCTAGCATGAAAGGAAGAAACCCCGTTTGCAACGAAGGCCTCAAAGAGGTCCAAATATCCACTTGCAGACATAACAAGCAGAGTGTTTCTAAACTGCTCTAAGAAAAGAAAGGTTAAACTCTGTGAGTTGAAGGCACACATCACAAAGTAGTTTCTGAGAATGATTCTGTCTAGTTTTTATTTGAAGATATTTCCTTTTCTACTGTTGGCATCAAATCGCTTGAAATCTCCACTTGCAAACTCCACAAAAAGAGTGTTTCAAATCTGCTCTGTGCAAAGGGACGTTCCACTCTGTGAGTTGAATACACACAGCACAAAGAAGTTACTGAGAATTCTTCTGTCTAGCATGAAATGAAGAAATCCCGTTTCCAACGAAGGCCTCAATGCGGTCCATAGATCCACTTGCAGACTTTACAAACAGAGTGTTTCCAAACTGCTCTATGAAAAGAAAGGTTAAACTATGTGAGTTGAACGCACACATCACAAAGAATTTTCTGAGAATGATTCTGTCTGGTTTTTATTTGAAGATATTTCCCTTTCTACTGTTGGCATCAAATTGCTAGAAATCTCCACTTGCAAATTCCGTAAAAAGAGTGTTTCAAATCTGCTCTGTCTAAAGGGACGTTCCACTCTGTGAGTTGAATGCACACAACACAAAGAATTTACTGAGAATTCTTCCGTCTAGCATTCAATGAAGAAATCCCGTTTCCAACGAAGGCCTCAAACAGGTCCATATATCCACTTGCAGACTTTACAAACAGTGTGTTTCCAAACTCCTCTATGAAAAGAAAGGTTAAACTCTGTGAGTTGAACGCACACATCACAAAGCACTTTCTGAGAATGATTCTGTCTGGTTATTATACGAAGATATTTCTTTTTCTGCAATTGTCCTCAAATCGCTTGAAATCTCCACCTGAAAATGCCACAGCAAGAGTGTTTCAAATCTGCTCTCTCTAAAGCAAGGTTCAACTCTGTGAGTTGAATACACACAACACAAAAAAGTTACTGAGAACTCTTCTTAGTCTAGCATGAAAGGAAGAAACCCCGTTTGCAACGAAGGCCTCAAAGAGGTCCAAATATCCACTTGCAGACATAACAAGCAGAGTGTTTCTAAACTGCTCTAAGAAAAGAAAGGTTAAACTCTGTGAGTTGAAGGCACACATCACAAAGTAGTTTCTGAGAATGATTCTGTCTAGTTTTTATTTGAAGATATTTCCTTTTCTACTGTTGGCATCAAATCGCTTGAAATCTCCACTTGCAAACTCCACAAAAAGAGTGTTTCAAATCTGCTCTGTGTAAAGGGACGTTCCACTCTGTGAGTTGAATACACACAGCACAAAGAAGTTACTGAGAATTCTTCTGTCTAGCATGAAATGAAGAAATCCCGTTTCCAACGAAGGCCTCAATGCGGTCCATATATCCACTTGCAGACTTTACAAACAGAGTGTTTCCAAACTGCTCTATGAAAAGAAAGGTTAAACTATGTGAGTTGAACGCACACATCACAAAGAATTTTCTGAGAATGATTCTGTCTGGTTTTTATTTGAAGATATTTCCCTTTCTACTGTTGGCATCAAATGGCTAGAAATCTCCACTTGCAAATTCCGCAAAAAGAGTGTTTCAAATCTGCTCTGTCTAAAGGGACGTTCCACTCTGTCAGTTGAATGCACACAACACAAAGAATTTACTGAGAATTCTTCCGTCTAGCATTCAATGAAGAAATCCCGTTTCCAACGAAGGCCTCAAACAGGTCCATATATCCAATTGCAGACTTTACAAACAGTGTGTTTCCAAACTCCTCTATGAAAAGAAAGGTTAAACTCTGTGAGTTGAACGCACACATCACAAAGCACTTTCTGAGAATGATTCTGTCTGGTTATTATACGAAGATATTTCCTTTTCTGCAATTGTCCTCAAAACGCTTGAAATCTCCACCTGAAAATGCCACAGCAAGAGTGTTTCAAATCTGCTCTCTCTAAAGCAAGGTTCAACTCTGTGAGTTGAATACACACAACACAAAAAAGTTACTGAGAACTCTTCTTAGTCTAGCATGAAAGGAAGAAACCCCGTTTGCAACGAAGGCCTCAAAGAGGTCCAAATATCCACTTGCAGACATAACAAGCAGAGTGTTTCTAAACTGCTCTAAGAAAAGAAAGGTTAAACTCTGTGAGTTGAAGGCACACATCACAAAGTAGTTTCTGAGAATGATTCTGTCTAGTTTTTATTTGAAGATATCTCCTTTTCTACTGTTGGCATCAAATCGCTTGAAATCTCCACTTGCAAATTCCACAAAAAGAGTGTTTCAAATCTGCTCTGTGTAAAGGGACGTTCCCACTCTGTGAGTTGAATACACACAGCACAAAGAAGTTACTGAGAATTCTTCTGTCTAGCATGAAATGAAGAAATCCCGTTTCCAACGAAGGCCTCAATGCGGTCCATATATCCACTTGCAGACTTTACAAACAGAGTGTTTCCAAACTGCTCTATGAAAAGAAAGGTTAAACTATGTGAGTTGAACGCACACATCACAAAGAATTTTCTGAGAATGATTCTGTCTGGTTTTTATTTGAAGATATTTCCCTTTCTACTGTTGGCATCAAATGGCTAGAAATCTCCACTTGCAAATTCCGCAAAAAGAGTGTTTCAAATCTGCTCTGTCTAAAGGGACGTTCCACTCTGTGAGTTGAATGCACACAACACAAAGAATTTACTGAGAATTCTTCCGTCTAGCATTCAATGAAGAAATCCCGTTTCCAACGAAGGCCTCAAACAGGTCCATATATCCAATTGCAGACTTTACAAACAGTGTGTTTCCAAACTCCTTTATGAAAAGAAAGGTTAACTCTGTGAGTTGAATGCACACATCACAAAGCACTTTCTGATAATGATTCTGTCTGGTTATTATACGAAGATATTTCCTTTTCTGCAATTGTCCTCAAATCGCTTGAAATCTCCACCTGAAAATGCCACAGCAAGAGTGTTTCAAATCTGCTCTCTCTAAAGCAAGGTTCAACTCTGTGAGTTGAATACACACAACACAAAAAAGTTACTGAGAACTCTTCTTAGTCTAGCATGAAAGGAAGAAACCCCGTTTGCAACGAAGGCCTCAAAGAGGTCCAAATATCCACTTGCAGACATAACAAGCAGAGTGTTTCTAAACTGCTCTAAGAAAAGAAAGGTTAAACTCTGTGAGTTGAAGGCACACATCACAAAGTAGTTTCTGAGAATGATTCTGTCTAGTTTTTATTTGAAGATATTTCCTTTTCTACTGTTGGCATCAAATCGCTTGAAATCTCCACTTGCAAACTCCACAAAAAGAGTGTTTCAAATCTGCTCTGTGCAAAGGGACGTTCCACTCTGTGAGTTGAATACACACAGCACAAAGAAGTTACTGAGAATTCTTCTGTCTAGCATGAAATGAAGAAATCCCGTTTCCAACGAAGGCCTCAATGCGGTCCATATATCCACTTGCAGACTTTACAAACAGAGTGTTTCCAAACTGCTCTATGAAAAGAAAGGTTAAACTATGTGAGTTGAACGCACACATCACAAAGAATTTTCTGAGAATGATTCTGTCTGGTTTTTATTTGAAGATATTTCCCTTTCTACTGTTGGCATCAAATGGCTAGAAATCTCCACTTGCAAATTCCACAAAAAGAGTGTTTCAAATCTGCTCTGTCTTAAGGGACGTTCCACTCTGTCAGTTGAATGCACACAACACAAAGAATTTACTGAGAATTCTTCCGTCTAGCATTCAATGAAGAAATCCCGTTTCCAACGAAGGCCTCAAACAGGTCCATATATCCAATTGCAGACTTTACAAACAGTGTGTTTCCAAACTCCTCTATGAAAAGAAAGGTTAAACTCTGTGAGTGGAACGCACACATCACAAAGCACTTTCTGAGAATGATTCTGTCTGGTTATTATACGAAGATATTTCCTTTTCTGCAATTGTCCTCAAATCGCTTGAAATCTCCACCTGAAAATGCCACAGCAAGAGTGTTTCAAATCTGCTCTCTCTAAAGCAAGGTTCAACTCTGTGAGTTGAATACACACAACACAAAAAAGTTACTGAGAACTCTTCTTAGTCTAGCATGAAAGGAAGAAACCCCGTTTGCAACGAAGGCCTCAAAGAGGTCCAAATATCCACTTGCAGACATAACAAGCAGAGTGTTTCTAAACTGCTCTAAGAAAAGAAAGGTTAAACTCTGTGAGTTGAAGGCACACATCACAAAGTAGTTTCTGAGAATGATTCTGTCTAGTTTTTATTTGAAGATATTTCCTTTTCTACTGTTGGCATCAAATCGCTTGAAATCTCCACTTGCAAACTCCACAAAAAGAGTGTTTCAAATCTGCTCTGTGTAAAGGGACGTTCCACTCTGTGAGTTGAATACACACAGCACAAAGAAGTTACTGAGAATTCTTCTGTCTAGCATGAAATGAAGAAATCCCGTTTCCAACGAAGGGCCTCAATGCGGTCCATATATCCACTTGCAGACTTTACAAACAGAGTGTTTCCAAACTGCTCTATGAAAAGAAAGGTTAAACTATGTGAGTTGAACGCACACATCACAAAGAATTTTCTGAGAATGATTCTGTCTGGTTTTTATTTGAAGATATTTCCCTTTCTACTGTTGGCATCAAATGGCTAGAAATCTCCACTTGCAAATTCCGCAAAAAGAGTGTTTCAAATCTGCTGTGTCTAAAGGGACGTTCCACTCTGTGAGTTGAATGCACACAACACAAAGAATTTACTGAGAATTCTTCCGTCTAGCATTCAATGAAGAAATCCCGTTTCCAACGAAGGCCTCAAACAGGTCCATATATCCAATTGCAGACTTTACAAACAGTGTGTTTCCAAACTCCTCTATGAAAAGAAAGGTTAAACTCTGTGAGTTGAACGCACACATCACAAAGCACTTTCTGAGAATGATTCTGTCTGGTTGTTATACGAAGATATTTCCTTTTCTGCAATTGTCCTCAAATCGCTTGAAATCTCCACCTGAAAATGCCACAGCAAGAGTGTTTCAAATCTGCTCTCTCTAAAGCAAGGTTCAGCTCTGTGAGTTGAATACACACAACACAAAAAAGTTACTGAGAACTCTTCTTAGTCTAGCATGAAAGGAAGAAACCCCGTTTGCAACGAAGGCCTCAAAGAGGTCCAAATATCCACTTGCAGACATAACAAGCAGAGTGTTTCTAAACTGCTCTAAGAAAAGAAAGGTTAAACTCTGTGAGTTGAAGGCACACATCACAAAGTAGTTTCTGAGAATGATTCTGTCTAGTTTTTATTTGAAGATATTTCCTTTTCTACTGTTGGCATCAAATCGCTTGAAATCTCCACTTGCAAACTCCACAAAAAGAGTGTTTCAAATCTGCTCTGTGTAAAGGGACGTTCCACTCTGTGAGTTGAATACACACAGCACAAAGAAGTTACTGAGAATTCTTCTGGCTAGCATGAAATGAAGAAATCCCGTTTCCAACGAAGGCCTCAATGCGGTCCATATATCCACTTGCAGACTTTACAAACAGAGTGTTTCCAAACTGCTCTATGAAAAGAAAGGTTAAACTATGTGAGTTGAACGCACACATCACAAAGAATTTTCTGAGAATGATTCTGTCTGGTTTTTATTTGAAGATATTTCCCTTTCTACTGTTGGCATCAAATGGCTAGTAAATCTCCACTTGCAAATTCCGCAAAAAGAGTGTTTCAAATCTGCTCTGTCTAAAGGGACGTTCCACTCTGTGAGTTGAATGCACACAACACAAAGAATTTACTGAGAATTCTTCCGTCTAGCATTCAATGAAGAAATCCCGTTTCCAACGAAGGCCTCAAACAGGTCCATATATCCAATTGCAGACTTTACAAACAGTGTGTTTCCAAACTCCTCTATGAAAAGAAAGGTTAAACTCTGTGAGTTGAACGCACACATCACAAAGCACTTTCTGAGAATGATTCTGTCTGGTTATTATACGAAGATATTTCCTTTTCTGCAATTGTCCTCAAATCGCTTGAAATCTCCACCTGAAAATGCCACAGCAAGAGTGTTTCAAATCTGCTCTCTCTAAAGCAAGGTTCAACTCTGTGAGTTGAATACACACAACACGAAAAAGTTACTGAGAACTCTTCTTAGTCTAGCATGAAAGGAAGAAACCCCGTTTGCAACGAAGGCCTCAAAGAGGTCCAAATATCCACTTGCAGACATAACAAGCAGAGTGTTTCTAAACTGCTCTAAGAAAAGAAAGGTTAAACTCTGTGAGTTGAAGGCACACATCACAAAGTAGTTTCTGAGAATGATTCTGTCTAGTTTTTATTTGAAGATATTTCCTTTTCTACTGTTGGCATCAAATCGCTTGAAATCTCCACTTGCAAACTCCACAAAAAGAGTGTTTCAAATCTGCTCTGTGCAAAGGGACGTTCCACTCTGTGAGTTGAATACACACAGCACAAAGAAGTTACTGAGAATTCTTCTGTCTAGCATGAAATGAAGAAATCCCGTTTCCAACGAAGGCCTCAATGCGGTCCATATATCCACTTGCAGACTTTACAAACAGAGTGTTTCCAAACTGCTCTATGAAAAGAAAGGTTAAACTATGTGAGTTGAACGCACACATCACAAAGAATTTTCTGAGAATGATTCTGTCTGGTTTTTATTTGAAGATATTTCCCTTTCTACTGTTGGCATCAAATGGCTAGAAATCTCCACTTGCAAATTCCGCAAAAAGAGTGTTTCAAATCTGCTCTGTCTAAAGGGACGTTCCACTCTGTGAGTTGAATGCACACAACACAAAGAATTTACTGAGAATTCTTCCGTCTAGCATTCAATGAAGAAATCCCGTTTCCAACGAAGGCCTCAAACAGGTCCATATATCCACTTGCAGACTTTACAAACAGTGTGTTTCCAAACTCCTGTATGAAAAGAAAGGTTAAACTCTGTGAGTGGAACGCACACATCACAAAGCGCTTTCTGAGAATGATTCTGTCTGGTTATTATACGAAGATATTTCCTTTTCTGCAATTGTCCTCAAATCGCTTGAAATCTCCACCTGAAAATGCCACAGCAAGAGTGTTTCAAATCTGCTCTCTCTAAAGCAAGGTTCAACTCTGTGAGTTGAATACACACAACACAAAAAAGTTACTGAGAACTCTTCTTAGTCTAGCATGAAAGGAAGAAACCCCGTTTGCAACGAAGGCCTCAAAGAGGTCCAAATATCCACTTGCAGACATAACAAGCAGAGTGTTTCTAAAGTGCTCTAAGAAAAGAAAGGTTAAACTCTGTGAGTTGAAGGCACACATCACAAAGTAGTTTCTGAGAATGATTCTGTCTAGTTTTTATTTGAAGATATTTCCTTTTCTACTGTTGGCATCAAATCGCTTGAAATCTCCACTTGCAAACTCCACAAAAAGAGTGTTTAAAATCTGCTCTGTGCAAAGGGACGTTCCACTCTGTGAGTTGAATACACACAGCACAAAGAAGTTACTGAGAATTCTTCTGTCTAGCATGAAATGAAGAAATCCCGTTTCCAACGAAGGCCTCAATGCGGTCCATATATCCACTTGCAGACTTTACAAACAGAGTGTTTCCAAACTGCTCTATGAAAAGAAAGGTTAAACTATGTGAGTTGAACGCACACATCACAAAGAATTTTCTGAGAATGATTCTGTCTGGTTTTTATTTGAAGATATTTCCCTTTCTACTGTTGGCATCAAATGGCTAGAAATCTCCACTTGCAAATTCCGCAAAAAGAGTGTTTCAAATCTGCTCTGTCTAAAGGGACGTTCCACTCTGTCAGTTGAATGCACACAACACAAAGTATTTACTGAGAATTCTTCCGTCTAGCATTCAATGAAGAAATCCCGTTTCCAACGAAGGCCTCAAACAGGTCCATATATCCACTTGCAGACTTTACAAACAGTTTGTTTCCAAACTCCTCTATGAAAAGAAAGGTTAAACTCTGTGAGTGGAACGCACACATCACAAAGCACTTTCTGAGAATGATTCTGTCTGGTTATTATACGAAGATATTTCCTTTTCTGCAATTGTCCTCAAA
The DNA here is from genome assembly GCF_000001405.40 of Homo sapiens. Taxonomy (NCBI): domain Eukaryota; kingdom Metazoa; phylum Chordata; class Mammalia; order Primates; family Hominidae; genus Homo; species Homo sapiens. The sequence continues at coordinate 60,624,951 of NC_000007.14, read as the reverse complement.
TCGCTTGAAATCTCCACCTGAAAATGCCACAGCAAGAGTGTTTCAAATCTGCTCTCTCTAAAGCAAGGTTCAACTCTGTGAGTTGAATACACACAACACAAAAAAGTTACTGAGAACTCTTCTTAGTCTAGCATGAAAGGAAGAAACCCCGTTTGCAACGAAGGCCTCAAAGAGGTCCAAATATCCACTTGCAGACATAACAAGCAGAGTGTTTCTAAACTGCTCTAAGAAAAGAAAGGTTAAACTCTGTGAGTTGAAGGCACACATCACAAAGTAGTTTCTGAGAATGATTCTGTCTAGTTTTTATTTGAAGATATTTCCTTTTCTACTGTTGGCATCAAATCGCTTGAAATCTCCACTTGCAAATTCCACAAAAAGAGTGTTTCAAATCTGCTCTGTGTAAAGGGACGTTCCACTCTGTGAGTTGAATACACACAGCACAAAGAAGTTACTGAGAATTCTTCTGTCTAGCATGAAATGAAGAAATCCCGTTTCCAACGAAGGCCTCAATGCGGTCCATATATCCACTTGCAGACTTTACAAACAGAGTGTTTCCAAACTGCTCTATGAAAAGAAAGGTTAAACTATGTGAGTTGAACGCACACATCACAAAGAATTTTCTGAGAATGATTCTGTCTGGTTTTTATTTGAAGATATTTCCCTTTCTACTGTTGGCATCAAATGGCTAGAAATCTCCACTTGCAAATTACGCAAAAAGAGTGTTTCAAATCTGCTCTGTCTAAAGGGACGTTCCACTCTGTGAGTTGAATGCACACAACACAAAGAATTTACTGAGAATTCTTCCGTCTAGCATTCAATGAAGAAATCCCGTTTCCAACGAAGGCCTCAAACAGGTCCATATATCCAATTGCAGACTTTACAAACAGTGTGTTTCCAAACTCCTCTATGAAAAGAAAGGTTAAACTCTGTGAGTTGAACGCACACAACACAAAGCACTTTCTGAGAATGATTCTGTCTGGTTATTATACGAAGATATTTCCTTTTCTGCAATTGTCCTCAAATCGCTTGAAATCTCCACCTGAAAATGCCACAGCAAGAGTGTTTCAAATCTGCTCTCTCTAAAGCAAGGTTCAACTCTGTGAGTTGAATACACACAACACAAAAAAGTTACTGAGAACTCTTCTTAGTCTAGCATGAAAGGAAGAAACCCCGTTTGCAACGAAGGCCTCAAAGAGGTCCAAATATCCACTTGCAGACATAACAAGCAGAGTGTTTCTAAACTGCTCTAAGAAAAGAAAGGTTAAACTCTGTGAGTTGAAGGCACACATCACAAAGTAGTTTCTGAGAATGATTCTGTCTAGTTTTTATTTGAAGATATTTCCTTTTCTACTGTTGGCATCAAATCGCTTGAAATCTCCACTTGCAAACTCCACAAAAAGAGTGTTTCAAATCTGCTCTGTGCAAAGGGACGTTCCACTCTGTGAGTTGAATACACACAGCACAAAGAAGTTACTGAGAATTCTTCTGTCTAGCATGAAATGAAGAAACCCCGTTTCCAACGAAGGCCTCAATGCGGTCCATATATCCACTTGCAGACTTTACAAACAGAGTGTTTCCAAACTGCTCTATGAAAAGAAAGGTTAAACTATGTGAGTTGAACGCACACATCACAAAGAATTTTCTGAGAATGATTCTGTCTGGTTTTTATTTGAAGATGTTTCCCTTTCTACTGTTGGCATCAAATGGCTAGAAATCTCCACTTGCAAATTCCGCAAAAAGAGTGTTTCAAATCTGCTCTGTCTAAAGGGACGTTCCACTCTGTGAGTTGAATGCACACAACACAAAGAATTTACTGAGAATTCTTCCGTCTAGCATTCAATGAAGAAATCCCGTTTCCAACGAAGGCCTCAAACAGGTCCATATATCCAATTGCAGACTTTACAAACAGTGTGTTTCCAAACTCCTCTATGAAAAGAAAGGTTAAACTCTGTGAGTTGAACGCACACATCACAAAGCACTTTCTGAGAATGATTCTGTCTGGTTATTATACGAAGATATTTCCTTTTCTGCAATTGTCCTCAAATCGCTTGAAATCTCCACCTGAAAATGCCACAGCAAGAGTGTTTCAAATCTGCTCTCTCTAAAGCAAGGTTCAACTCTGTGAGTTGAATACACACAACACAAAAAAGTTACTGAGAACTCTTCTTAGTCTAGCATGAAAGGAAGAAACCCCGTTTGCAACGAAGGCCTCAAAGAGGTCCAAATATCCACTTGCAGACATAACAAGCAGAGTGTTTCTAAACTGCTCTAAGAAAAGAAAGGTTAAACTCTGTGAGTTGAAGGCACACATCACAAAGTAGTTTCTGAGAATGATTCTGTCTAGTTTTTATTTGAAGATATTTCCTTTTCTACTGTTGGCATCAAATCGCTTGAAATCTCCACTTGCAAATTCCACAAAAAGAGTGTTTCAAATCTGCTCTGTGCAAAGGGACGTTCCACTCTGTGAGTTGAATACACACAGCACAAAGAAGTTACTGAGAATTCTTCTGTCTAGCATGAAATGAAGAAATCCCGTTTCCAACGAAGGCCTCAATGCGGTCCATATATCCACTTGCAGACTTTACAAACAGAGTGTTTCCAAACTGCTCTATGAAAAGAAAGGTTAAACTATGTGAGTTGAACGCACACATCACAAAGAATTTTCTGAGAATGATTCTGTCTGGTTTTTATTTGAAGATATTTCCCTTTCTACTGTTGGCATCAAATGGCTAGAAATCTCCACTTGCAAATTCCGCAAAAAGAGTGTTTCAAATCTGCTCTGTCTAAAGGGACGTTCCACTCTGTGAGTTGAATGCACACAACACAAAGAATTTACTGAGAATTCTTCCGTCTAGCATTCAATGAAGAAATCCCGTTTCCAACGAAGGCCTCAAACAGGTCCATATATCCACTTGCAGACTTTACAAACAGTGTGTTTCCAAACTCCTCTATGAAAAGAAAGGTTAAACTCTGTGAGTGGAACGCACACATCACAAAGCACTTTCTGAGAATGATTCTGTCTGGTTATTATACGAAGATATTTCCTTTTCTGCAATTGTCCTCAAAACGCTTGAAATCTCCACCTGAAAATGCCACAGCAAGAATGTTTAAAATCTGCTCTCTCTAAAGCAAGGTTCAACTCTGTGAGTTGAATACACACAACACAAAAAAGTTACTGAGAACTCTTCTTAGTCTAGCATGAAAGGAAGAAACCCCGTTTGCAACGAAGGCCTCAAAGAGGTCCAAATATCCACTTGCAGACATAACAAGCAGAGTGTTTCTAAACTGCTCTAAGAAAAGAAAGGTTAAACTCTGTGAGTTGAAGGCACACATCACAAAGTAGTTTCTGAGAATGATTCTGTCTAGTTTTTATTTGAAGATATTTCCTTTTCTACTGTTGGCATCAAATCGCTTGAAATCTCCACTTGCAAACTCCACAAAAAGAGTGTTTCAAATCTGCTCTGTGCAAAGGGACGTTCCACTCTGTGAGTTGAATACACACAGCACAAAGAAGTTACTGAGAATTCTTCTGTCTAGCATGAAATGAAGAAATCCCGTTTCCAACGAAGGCCTCAATGCGGTCCATATATCCACTTGCAGACTTTACAAACAGAGTGTTTCCAAACTGCTCTATGAAAAGAAAGGTTAAACTATGTGAGTTGAACGCACACATCACAAAGAATTTTCTGAGAATGATTCTGTCTGGTTTTTATTTGAAGATATTTCCCTTTCTACTGTTGACATCAAATGGCTAGAAATCTCCACTTGCAAATTCCGCAAAAAGAGTGTTTCAAATCTGCTCTGTCTAAAGGGACGTTCCACTCTGTGAGTTGAATGCACACAACACAAAGAATTTACTGAGAATTCTTCCGTCTAGCATTCAATGAAGAAATCCCGTTTCCAACGAAGGCCTCAAACAGGTCCATATATCCAATTGCAGACTTTACAAACAGTGTGTTTCCAAACTCCTCTATGAAAAGAAAGGTTAAACTCTGTGAGTTGAACGCACACATCACAAAGCACTTTCTGAGAATGATTCTGTCTGGTTATTATACGAAGATATTTCCTTTTCTGCAATTGTCCTCAAATCGCTTGAAATCTCCACCTGAAAATGCCACAGCAAGAGTGTTTCAAATCTGCTCTCTCTAAAGCAAGGTTCAACTCTGTGAGTTGAATACACACAACACAAAAAAGTTACTGAGAACTCTTCTTAGTCTAGCATGAAAGGAAGAAACCCCGTTTGCAACGAAGGCCTCAAAGAGGTCCAAATATCCACTTGCAGACATAACAAGCAGAGTGTTTCTAAACTGCTCTAAGAAAAGAAAGGTTAAACTCTGTGAGTTGAAGGCACACATCACAAAGTAGTTTCTGATAATGATTCTGTCTAGTTTTTATTTGAAGATATTTCCTTTTCTACTGTTGGCATCAAATCGCTTGAAATCTCCACTTGCAAATTCCACAAAAAGAGTGTTTCAAATCTGTTCTGTGTAAAGGAACGTTCCACTCTGTGAGTTGAATACACACAGCACAAAGAAGTTACTGAGAATTCTTCTGTCTAGCATGAAATGAAGAAATCCCGTTTCCAACGAAGGCCTCAATGCGGTCCATATATCCACTTGCAGACTTTACAAACAGAGTGTTTCCAAACTGCTCTATGAAAAGAAAGGTTAAACTATGTGAGTTGAACGCACACATCACAAAGAATTTTCTGAGAATGATTCTGTCTGGTTTTTATTTGAAGATATTTCCCTTTCTACTGTTGGCATCAAATGGCTAGAAATCTCCACTTGCAAATTCCGCAAAAAGAGTGTTTCAAATCTGCTCTGTCTAAAGGGACGTTCCACTCTGTCAGTTGAATGCACACAACACAAAGAATTTACTGAGAATTCTTCCGTCTAGCATTCAATGAAGAAATCCCGTTTCCAACGAAGGCCTCAAACAGGTCCATATATCCACTTGCAGACTTTACAAACAGTGTGTTTCCAAACTCCTCTATGGAAAGAAAAGTTAAACTCTGTGAGTTGAACGCACACATCACAAAGCACTTTCTGAGAATGATTCTGTCTGGTTATTATACGAAGATATTTCCTTTTCTGCAATTGTCCTCAAATCGCTTGAAATCTCCACCTGAAAATGCCACAGCAAGAGTGTTTCAAATCTGCTCTCTCTAAAGCAAGGTTCAACTCTGTGATTTGAATACACACAACACAAAAAAGTTACTGAGAACTCTTCTTAGTCTAGCATGAAAGGAAGAAACCCCGTTTGCAACGAAGGCCTCAAAGAGGTCCAAATATCCACTTGCAGACATAACAAGCAGAGTGTTTCTAAACTGCTCTAAGAAAAGAAAGGTTAAACTCTGTGAGTTGAAGGCACACATCACAAAGTAGTTTCTGAGAATGATTCTGTCTAGTTTTTATTTGAAGATATTTCCTTTTCTACTGCTGGCATCAAATCGCTTGAAATCTCCACTTGCAAACTCCACAAAAAGAGTGTTTCAAATCTGCTCTGTGTAAAGGGACGTTCCACTCTGTGAGTTGAATACACACAGCACAAAGAAGTTACTGAGAATTCTTCTGTCTAGCATGAAATGAAGAAATCCCGTTTCCAACGAAGGCCTCAATGCGGTCCATATATCCACTTGCAGACTTTACAAACAGAGTGTTTCCAAACTGCTCTATGAAAAGAAAGGTTAAACTATGTGAGTTGAACGCACACATCACAAAGAATTTTCTGAGAATGATTCTGTCTGGTTTTTATTTGAAGATATTTCCCTTTCTACTGTTGGCATCAAATGGCTAGAAATCTCCACTTGCAAATTCCGCAAAAAGAGTGTTTCAAATCTGCTCTGTCTAAAGGGACGTTCCACTCTGTGAGTTGAATGCACACAACACAAAGAATTTACTGAGAATTCTTCCGTCTAGCATTCAATGAAGAAATCCCGTTTCCAACGAAGGCCTCAAACAGGTCCATATATCCACTTGCAGACTTTACAAACAGTGTGTTTCCAAACTCCTCTATGAAAAGAAAGGTTAAACTCTGTGAGTTGAACGCACACATCACAAAGCACTTTCTGAGAATGATTCTGTCTGGTTATTATACGAAGATATTTCCTTTTCTGCAATTGTCCTCAAATCGCTTGAAATCTCCACCTGAAAATGCCACAGCAAGAGTGTTTCAAATCTGCTCTCTCTAAAGCAAGGTTCAACTCTGTGAGTTGAATACACACAACACAAAAAAGTTACTGAGAACTCTTCTTAGTCTAGCATGAAAGGAAGAAACCCCGTTTGCAACGAAGGCCTCAAAGAGGTCCAAATATCCACTTGCAGACATAACAAGCAGAGTGTTTCTAAACTGCTCTAAGAAAAGAAAGGTTAAACTCTGTGAGTTGAAGGCACACATCACAAAGTAGTTTCTGAGAATGATTCTGTCTAGTTTTTATTTGAAGATATTTCCTTTTCTACTGTTGGCATCAAATCGCTTGAAATCTCCACTTGCAAACTCCACAAAAAGAGTGTTTCAAATCTGCTCTGTGTAAAGGGACGTTCCACTCTGTGAGTTGAATACACACAGCACAAAGAAGTTACTGAGAATTCTTCTGTCTAGCATGAAATGAAGAAATCCCGTTTCCAACGAAGGCCTCAATGCGGTCCATATATCCACTTGCAGACTTTACAAACAGAGTGTTTCCAAACTGCTCTATGAAAAGAAAGGTTAAACTATGTGAGTTGAACGCACACATCACAAAGAATTTTCTGAGAATGATTCTGTCTGGTTTTTATTTGAAGATATTTCCCTTTCTACTGTTGGCATCAAATGGCTAGAAATCTCCACTTGCAAATTCCGCAAAAAGAGTGTTTCAAATCTGCTCTGTCTAAAGGGACGTTCCACTCTGTGAGTTGAATGCACACAACACAAAGAATTTACTGAGAATTCTTCCGTCTAGCATTCAATGAAGAAATCCCGTTTCCAACGAAGGCCTCAAACAGGTCCATATATCCAATTGCAGACTTTACAAACAGTGTGTTTCCAAACTCCTCTATGAAAAGAAAGGTTAAACTCTGTGAGTTGAACGCACACATCACAAAGCACTTTCTGTGAATGATTTCTGTCTGGTTATTATACGAAGATATTTCCTTTTCTGCAATTGTCCTCAAATCGCTTGAAATCTCCACCTGAAAATGCCACAGCAAGAGTGTTTCAAATCTGCTCTCTCTAAAGCAAGGTTCAACTCTGTGAGTTGAATACACACAACACAAAAAAGTTACTGAGAACTCTTCTTAGTCTAGCATGAAAGGAAGAAACCCCGTTTGCAACGAAGGCCTCAAAGAGGTCCAAATATCCACTTGCAGACATAACAAGCAGAGTGTTTCTAAACTGCTCTAAGAAAAGAAAGGTTAAACTCTGTGAGTTGAAGGCACACATCACAAAGTAGTTTCTGAGAATGATTCTGTCTAGTTTTTATTTGAAGATATTTCCTTTTCTACTGCTGGTATCAAATCGCTTGAAATCTCCACTTGCAAACTCCACAAAAAGAGTGTTTCAAATCTGCTCTGTGTAAAGGGACGTTCCACTCTGTGAGTTGAATACACACAGCACAAAGAAGTTACTGAGAATTCTTCTGTCTAGCATGAAATGAAGAAATCCCATTTCCAACGAAGGCCTCAATGCGGTCCATATATCCACTTGCAGACTTTACAAACAGAGTGTTTCCAAACTGCTCTATGAAAAGAAAGGTTAAACTATGTGAGTTGAACGCACACATCACAAAGAATTTTCTGAGAATGATTCTGTCTGGTTTTTATTTGAAGATATTTCCCTTTCTACTGTTGGCATCAAATGGCTAGAAATCTCCACTTGCAAATTCCGCAAAAAGAGTGTTTCAAATCTGCTCTGTCTAAAGGGACGTTCCACTCTGTGAGTTGAATGCACACAACACAAAGAATTTACTGAGAATTCTTCCGTCTAGCATTCAATGAAGAAATCCCGTTTCCAACGAAGGCCTCAAACAGGTCCATATATCCAATTGCAGACTTTACAAACAGTGTGTTTCCAAACTCCTCTATGAAAAGAAAGGTTAAACTCTGTGAGTTGAACGCACACATCACAAAGCACTTTCTGAGAATGATTCTGTCTGGTTATTATACGAAGATATTTCCTTTTCTGCAATTGTCCTCAAATCGCTTGAAATCTCCACCTGAAAATGCCACAGCAAGAGTGTTTCAAATCTGCTCTCTCTAAAGCAAGGTTCAACTCTGTGAGTTGAATACACACAACACAAAAAAGTTACTGAGAACTCTTCTTAGTCTAGCATGAAAGGAAGAAACCCCGTTTGCAACGAAGGCCTCAAAGAGGTCCAAATATCCACTTGCAGACATAACAAGCAGAGTGTTTCTAAACTGCTCTAAGAAAAGAAAGGTTAAACTCTGTGAGTTGAAGGCACACATCACAAAGTAGTTTCTGAGAATGATTCTGTCTAGTTTTTATTTGAAGATATTTCCTTTTCTACTGTTGGCATCAAATCGCTTGAAATCTCCACTTGCAAACTCCACAAAAAGAGTGTTTCAAATCTGCTCTGTGTAAAGGGACGTTCCACTCTGTGAGTTGAATACACACAGCACAAAGAAGTTACTGAGAATTCTTCTGTCTAGCATGAAATGAAGAAATCCCGTTTCCAACGAAGGCCTCAATGCGGTCCATATATCCACTTGCAGACTTTACAAACAGAGTGTTTCCAAACTGCTCTATGAAAAGAAAGGTTAAACTATGTGAGTTGAACGCACACATCACAAAGAATTTTCTGAGAATGATTCTGTCTGGTTTTTATTTGAAGATATTTCCCTTTCTACTGTTGGCATCAAATGGCTAGAAATCTCCACTTGCAAATTCCGCAAAAAGAGTGTTTCAAATCTGCTCTGTCTAAAGGGACGTTCCACTCTGTGAGTTGAATGCACACAACACAAAGAATTTACTGAGAATTCTTCCGTCTAGCATTCAATGAAGAAATCCCGTTTCCAACGAAGGCCTCAAACAGGTCCATATATCCACTTGCAGACTTTACAAACAGTGTGTTTCCAAACTCCTCTATGAAAAGAAAGGTTAAACTCTGTGAGTTGAACGCACACATCACAAAGCACTTTCTGAGAATGATTCTGTCTGGTTATTATACGAAGATATTTCCTTTTCTGCAATTGTCCTCAAATCGCTTGAAATCTCCACCTGAAAATGCCACAGCAAGAGTGTTTCAAATCTGCTCTCTCTAAAGCAAGGTTCAACTCTGTGAGTTGAATACACACAACACAAAAAAGTTACTGAGAACTCTTCTTAGTCTAGCATGAAAGGAAGAAACCCCGTTTGCAACGAAGGCCTCAAAGAGGTCCAAATATCCACTTGCAGACATAACAAGCAGAGTGTTTCTAAACTGCTCTAAGAAAAGAAAGGTTAAACTCTGTGAGTTGAAGGCACACATCACAAAGTAGTTTCTGAGAATGATTCTGTCTAGTTTTTATTTGAAGATATTTCCTTTTCTACTGTTGGCATCAAATCGCTTGAAATCTCCACTTGCAAACTCCACAAAAAGAGTGTTTCAAATCTGCTCTGTGCAAAGGGACGTTCCACTCTGTGAGTTGAATACACACAGCACAAAGAAGTTACTGAGAATTCTTCTGTCTAGCATGAAATGAAGAAATCCCGTTTCCAACGAAGGCCTCAATGCGGTCCATATATCCACTTGCAGACTTTACAAACAGAGTGTTTCCAAACTGCTCTATGAAAAGAAAGGTTAAACTATGTGAGTTGAACGCACACATCACAAAGAATTTTCTGAGAATGATTCTGTCTGGTTTTTATTTGAAGATATTTCCCTTTCTACTGTTGGCATCAAATGGCTAGAAATCTCCACTTGCAAATTCCGCAAAAAGAGTGTTTCAAATCTGCTCTGTCTAAAGGGACGTTCCACTCTGTGAGTTGAATGCACACAACACAAAGAATTTACTGAGAATTCTTCTGCCTAGCATTCAATGAAGAAATCCCGTTTCCAACGAAGGCCTCAAACAGGTCCATATATCCAATTGCAGACTTTACAAACAGTGTGTTTCCAAACTCCTCTATGAAAAGAAAGGTTAAACTCTGTGAGTTGAACGCACACATCACAAAGCACTTTCTGAGAATGATTCTGTCTGGTTATTATACGAAGATATTTCCTTTTCTGCAATTGTCCTCAAATCGCTTGAAATCTCCACCTGAAAATGCCACAGCAAGAGTGTTTCAAATCTGCTCTCTCTAAAGCAAGGTTCAACTCTGTGAGTTGAATACACACAACACAAAAAAGTTACTGAGAACTCTTCTTAGTCTAGCATGAAAGGAAGAAACCCCGTTTGCAACGAAGGCCTCAAAGAGGTCCAAATATCCACTTGCAGACATAACAAGCATAGTGTTTCTAAACTGCTCTAAGAAAAGAAAGGTTAAACTCTGTGAGTTGAAGGCACACATCACAAAGTAGTTTCTGAGAATGATTCTGTCTAGTTTTTATTTGAAGATATTTCCTTTTCTACGGTTGGCATCAAATCGCTTGAAATCTCCACTTGCAAACTCCACAAAAAGAGTGTTTCAAATCTGCTCTGTGTAAAGGGACGTTCCACTCTGTGAGTTGAATACACACAGCACAAAGAAGTTACTGAGAATTCTTCTGTCTAGTATGAAATGAAGAAATCCCGTTTCCAACGAAGGCCTCAATGCGGTCCATATATCCACTTGCAGACTTTACAAACAGAGTGTTTCCAAACTGCTCCATGAAAAGAAAGGTTAAACTATGTGAGTTGAACGCACACATCACAAAGAATTTTCTGAGAATGATTCTGTCTGGTTTTTATTTGAAGATATTTCCCTTTCTACTGTTGGCATCAAATGGCTAGAAATCTCCACTTGCAAATTCCGCAAAAAGAGTGTTTCAAATCTGCTCTGTCTAAAGGGACGTTCCACTCTGTGAGTTGAATGCACACAACACAAAGAATTTACTGAGAATTCTTCCGTCTAGCATTCAATGAAGAAATCCCGTTTCCAACGAAGGCCTCAAACAGGTCCATATATCCAATTGCAGACTTTACAAACAGTGTGTTTCCAAACTCCTCTATGAAAAGAAAGGTTAAACTCTGTGAGTTGAACGCACACATCACAAAGCACTTTCTGAGAATGATTCTGTCTGGTTGTTATACGAAGCTATTTCCTTTTCTGTAATTGTCCTCAAAACGCTTGAAATCTCCACCTGAAAATGCCACAGCAAGAGTGTTTCAAATCTGCTCTCTCTAAAGCAAGGTTCAACTCTGTGAGTTGAATACACACAACACAAAAAAGTTACTGAGAACTCTTCTTAGTCTAGCATGAAAGGAAGAAACCCCGTTTGCAACGAAGGCCTCAAAGAGGTCCAAATATCCACTTGCAGACATAACAAGCAGAGTGTTTCTAAACTGCTCTAAGAAAAGAAAGGTTAAACTTTGTGAGTTGAAGGCACACATCACAAAGAATTTTCTGAGGATGATTCTGTCTAGTTTTTATTTGAAGATATTTCCCTTTCTACTGTTGGCATCAAATGGCTAGAAATCTCCACTTGCAAATTCCGCAAAAAGAGTGTTTCAAATCTGCTCTGTCTAAAGGGACGTTCCACTCTGTGAGTTGAATGCACACAACACAAAGAATTTACTGAGAATTCTTCCGTCTAGCATTATATGATAAAATCCCGTTTCCAACGAAGGCCTCAAACAGGTCCATATATCCACTTGCAGACTTTACAAACAGTGTCGTTTCCAAACTCCTCTATGAAAAGAAAGGTTAAGCTCTGTGAGTTGAACGCACGCATCACAAAGCACTTTCTGAGAATGATTCTGTCTGGTTATTATACGAAGATATTTCCTTTTCTGCAATTGTCCTCAAATCGCTTGAAATCTCCACCTGAAAATGCCACAGCAAGAGTGTTTCAAATCTGCTCTCTCTAAAGCAAGGTTCAACTCTGTGAGTTGAATACACACAACACAAAAAAGTTACTGAGAACTCTTCTTAGTCTAGCATTAAAGGAAGAAACCCCGTTTGCAACGAAGGCCTCAAAGAGGTCCAAATATCCACTTGCAGACATAACAAGCAGAGTGTTTCTAAACTGCTCTAAGAAAAGAAAGGTTAAACTCTGTGAGTTGAAGGCACACATCACAAAGTAGTTTCTGAGAATGATTCTGTCTAGTTTTTATTTGAAGATATTTCCTTTTCTACTGTTGGCATCAAATCGCTTGAAATCTCCACTTGCAAACTCCACAAAAAGAGTGTTTCAAATCTGCTCTGTGCAAAGGGACGTTCCACTCTGTGAGTTGAATACACACAGCACAAAGAAGTTACTGAGAATTCTTCTGTCTAGCATGAAATGAAGAAATCCCGTTTCCAACGAAGGCCTCAATGCGGTCCATATATCCACTTGCAGACTTTACAAACAGAGTGTTTCCAAACTGCTCTATGAAAAGAAAGGTTAAACTATGTGAGTTGAACGCACACATCACAAAGAATTTTCTGAGAATGATTCTGTCTGGTTTTTATTTGAAGATATTTCCCTTTCTACTGTTGGCATCAAATGGCTAGAAATCTCCACTTGCAAATTCCGCAAAAAGAGTGTTTCAAATCTGCTCTGTCTAAAGGGACGTTCCACTCTGTGAGTTGAATGCACACAACACAAAGAATTTACTGAGAATTCTTCCGTCTAGCATTCAATGAAGAAATCCCGTTTCCAACGAAGGCCTCAAACAGGTCCATATATCCACCTGCAGACTTTACTAACAGTGTGTTTCCAAACTCCTCTATGAAAAGAAAGGTTAAACTCTGTGAGTTGAACGCACACATCACAAAGCACTTTCTGAGAATGATTTCTGTCTGGTTGTTATACGAAGATATTTCCTTTTCTGCAATTGTCCTCAAATCGCTTGAAATCTCCACCTGAAAATGCCACAGCAAGAGTGTTTCAAATCTGCTCTCTCTAAAGCAAGGTTCAACTCTGTGAGTTGAATACACACAACACAAAAAAGTTACTGAGAACTCTTCTTAGTCTAGCATGAAAGGAAGAAACCCCGTTTGCAACGAAGGCCTCAAAGAGGTCCAAATATCCACTTGCAGACATAACAAGCAGAGTGTTTCTAAACTGCTCTAAGAAAAGAAAGGTTAAACTCTGTGAGTTGAAGGCACACATCACAAAGTAGTTTCTGAGAATGATTCTGTCTAGTTTTTATTTGAAGATATTTCCTTTTCTACTGTTGGCATCAAATCGCTTGAAATCTCCACTTGCAAACTCCACAAAAAGAGTGTTTCAAATCTGCTCTGTGTAAAGGGACGTTCCACTCTGTGAGTTGAATACACACAGCACAAAGAAGTTACTGAGAATTCTTCTTAGTCTAGCATTAAAGGAAGAAATCCGGTTTCCAACGAAGGCCTCAAAGCGGTCCATATATCTACTTGCAGACTTTACAAACAGAGTGTTTCCAAACTGCTCTATTAAAAGAAAATTTAAACTATGTGAGCTGAACGCACACATCACAAAGAATTTTCTGAGAATGATTCTGTCTGGTTTTTATTTGAAGATATTTCCCTTTCTACTGTTGGCATCAAATTGCTAGAAATCTCCACTTGCAAATTCCGCAAAAAGAGTGTTTCAAATCTGCTCTGTCTAAAGGGACGTTCCACTCTGTGAGTTGAATGCACACAACACAAAGAATTTACTGAGAATTCTTCCGTCTAGCATTCAATGAAGAAATCCCGTTTCCAACGAAGGCCTCAAACAGGTCCATATATCCACTTGCAGACTTTACAAACAGTGTGTTTCCAAACTCCTCTATGAAAAGAAAGGTTAAACTCTGTGAGTGGAACGCACACATCACAAAGCACTTTCTGAGAATGATTCTGTCTGGTTATTATACGAAGATATTTCCTTTTCTGCAATTGTCCTCAAATCGCTTGAAATCTCCACCTGAAAATGCCACAGCAAGAGTGTTTCAAATCTGCTCTCTCTAAAGCAAGGTTCAACTCTGTGAGTTGAATACACACAACACAAAAAAGTTACTGAGAACTCTTCTTAGTCTAGCATGAAAGGAAGAAACCCCGTTTGCAACGAAGGCCTCAAAGAGGTCCAAATATCCACTTGCAGACATAACAAGCAGAGTGTTTCTAAACTGCTCTAAGAAAAGAAAGGTTAAACTCTGTGAGTTGAAGGCACACATCACAAAGTAGTTTCTGAGAATGATTCTGTCTAGTTTTTATTTGAAGATATTTCCTTTTCTACTGTTGGCATCAAATCGCTTGAAATCTCCACTTGCAAACTCCACAAAAAGAGTGTTTCAAATCTGCTCTGTGCAAAGGGACGTTCCACTCTGTGAGTTGAATACACACAGCACAAAGAAGTTACTGAGAATTCTTCTGTCTAGCATGAAATGAAGAAATCCCGTTTCCAACAAAGGCCTCAATGCGGTCCATATATCCACTTGCAGACTTTACAAACAGAGTGTTTCCAAACTGCTCTATGAAAAGAAAGGTTAAACTATGTGAGTTGAACGCACACATCACAAAGAATTTTACTGAGAATGATTCTGTCTGGTTTTTATTTGAAGATATTTCCCTTTCTACTGTTGGCATCAAATGGCTAGAAATCTCCACTTGCAAATTCCGCAAAAAGAGTGTTTCAAATCTGCTCTGTCTAAAGGGACGTTCCACTCTGTGAGTTGAATGCACACAACACAAAGAATTTACTGAGAATTCTTCCGTCTAGCATTCAATGAAGAAATCCCGTTTCCAACGAAGGCCTCAAACAGGTCCATATATCCACTTGCAGACTTTACAAACAGTGTGTTTCCAAACTCCTCTATGAAAAGAAAGGTTAAACTCTGTGAGTGGAACGCACACATCACAAAGCACTTTCTGAGAATGATTCTGTCTGGTTATTATACGAAGATATTTCCTTTTCTGCAATTGTCCTCAAATCGCTTGAAATCTCCACCTGAAAATGCCACAGCAAGAGTGTTTCAAATCTGCTCTCTCTAAAGCAAGGTTCAACTCTGTGAGTTGAATACACACAACACAAAAAAGTTACTGAGAACTCTTCTTAGTCTAGCATGAAAGGAAGAAACCCCGTTTGCAACGAAGGCCTCAAAGAGGTCCAAATATCCACTTGCAGACATAACAAGCAGAGTGTTTCTAAACTGCTCTAAGAAAAGAAAGGTTAAACTCTGTGAGTTGAAGGCACACATCACAAAGTAGTTTCTGAGAATGATTCTGTCTAGTTTTTATTTGAAGATATTTCCTTTTCTACTGTTGGCATCAAATCGCTTGAAATCTCCACTTGCAAACTCCACAAAAAGAGTGTTTCAAATCTGCTCTGTGCAAAGGGACGTTCCACTCTGTGAGTTGAATACACACAGCACAAAGAAGTTACTGAGAATTCTTCTGTCTAGCATGAAATGAAGAAATCCCGTTTCCAACGAAGGCCTCAATGCGGTCCATATATCCACTTGCAGACTTTACAAACAGAGTGTTTCCAAACTGCTCTATGAAAAGAAAGGTTAAACTATGTGAGTTGAACGCACACATCACAAAGAATTTTCTGAGAATGATTCTGTCTGGTTTTTATTTGAAGATATTTCCCTTTCTACTGTTGGCATCAAACGGCTAGAAATCTCCACTTGTAAATTCCGCAAAAAGAGTGTTTCAAATCTGCTCTGTCTAAAGAGACGTTCCACTCTGTGAGTTGAATGCACACAACACAAAGAATTTACTGAGAATTCTTCCGTCTAGCATTCAATGAAGAAATCCCGTTTCCAACGAAGTCCTCAGACAGGTCCATATATCCAATTGCAGACTTTACAAACAGTGTGTTTCCAAACTCCTCTATGAAAGGAAAGGTTAAACTCTGTGAGTTGAACGCACACATCACAAAGCACTTTCTGAGAATGATTCTGTCTGGTTATTATACGAAGATATTTCCTTTTCTGCAATTGTCCTCAAATCGCTTGAAATCTCCACCTGAAAATGCCACAGCAAGAGTGTTTCAAATCTGCTCTCTCTAAAGCAAGTTTCAACTCTGTGAGTTGAATACACACAACACAAAAAAGTTACTGAGAACTCTTCTTAGTCTAGCATGAAAGGAAGAAACCCCGTTTGCAACGAAGGCCTCAAAGAGGTCCAAATATCCACTTGCAGACATAACAAGCAGAGTGTTTCTAAACTGCTCTAAGAAAAGAAAGGTTAAACTATGTGAGTTGAACGCACACATCACAAAGAATTTTCTGAGAATGATTCTGTCTAGTTTTTATTTGAAGATACTTCCTTTTCTACTGTTGGCATCAAATCGCTTGAAATCTCCACTTGCAAACTCCACAAAAAGAGTGTTTCAAATCTGCTCTGTGCAAAGGGACGTTCCACTCTGTGAGTTGAATACACACAGCACAAAGAAGTTACTGAGAATTCTTCTGTCTAGCATGAAATGAAGAAATCCCGTTTCCAACGAAGGCCTCAATGCGGTCCATATATCCACTTGCAGACTTTACAAACAGAGTGTTTCCAAACTGCTCTATGAAAAGAAAGGTTAAACTTTGTGAGTTGAAACCACACATCACAAAGTAGTTGTTGAGAATGATTCTGTCTGGTTTTTATTTGAAGATATTTCCCTTTCTACTGTTGGCATCAAATGGCTAGAAATCTCCACTTGCAAATTCCGCAAAAAGAGTGTTTCAAATCTGCTCTGTCTAAAGGGACGTTCCACTCTGTCAGTTGAATGCACACAACACAAAGAATTTACTGAGAATTCTTCCGTCTAGCATTCAATGAAGAAATCCCGTTTCCAACGAAGGCCTCAAACAGGTCCATATATCCACTTGCAGACTTTACAAATAGTGTGTTTCCAAACTCCTCTATGAAAAGAAAGGTTAAACTCTGTGAGTGGAACGCACACATCACAAAGCACTTTCTGAGAATGATTCTGTCTGGTTATTATACGAAGATATTTCCTTTTCTGCAATTGTCCTCAAATCGCTTGAAATCTCCACCTGAAAATGCCACAGCAAGAGTGTTTCAAATCTGCTCTCTCTAAAGCAAGGTTCAACTCTGTGAGTTGAATACACACAACACAAAAAGTTACTGAGAACTCTTCTTAGTCTAGCATTAAAGGAAGAAACCCCGTTTGCAACGAAGGCCTCAAAGAGGTCCAAATATCCACTTGCAGACATAACAAGCAGAGTGTTTCTAAACTGCTCTAAGAAAAGAAAGGTTAAACTCTGTGAGTTGAAGGCACACATCACAAAGTAGTTTCTGAGAATGATTCTGTCTAGTTTTTATTTGAAGATATTTCCTTTTCTACTGTTGGCATCAAATCGCTTGAAATCTCCACTTGCAAACTCCAGAAAAAGAGTGTTTCAAATCTGCTCTGTGCAAAGGGACGTTCCACTCTGTGAGTTGAATACACACAGCACAAAGAAGTTACTGAGAATTCTTCTGTCTAGCATGAAATGAAGAAATCCCGTTTCCAACGAAGGCCTCAATGCGGTCCATATATCCACTTGCAGACTTTACAAACAGAGTGTTTCCAAACTGCTCTATGAAAAGAAAGGTTAAACTATGTGAGTTGAACGCACACATCACAAAGAATTTTCTGAGAATGATTCTGTCTGGTTTTTATTTGAAGATATTTCCCTTTCTACTGTTGGCATCAAATGGCTAGAAATCTCCACTTGCAAATTCCGCAAAAAGAGTGTTTCAAATCTGCTCTGTCTAAAGGGACGTTCCACTCTGTCAGTTGAATGCACACAACACAAAGAATTTACTGAGAATTCTTCCGTCTAGCATTCAATGAAGAAATCCCGTTTCCAACGAAGGCCTCAAACAGGTCCATATATCCACTTGCAGACTTTACAAACAGTGTGTTTCCAAACTCCTCTATGAAAAGAAAGGTTAAACTCTGTGAGTTGAACGCACACATCACAAAGCACTTTCTGAGAATGATTCTGTCTGGTTATTATACGAAGATATTTCCTTTTCTGCAGTTGTCCTCAAATCGCTTGAAATCTCCACCTGAAAATGCCACAGCAAGAGTGTTTCAAATCTGCTCTCTCTAAAGCAAGGTTCAACTCTGTGAGTTGAATACACACAACACAAAAAAGTTACTGAGAACTCTTCTTAGTCTAGCATGAAAGGAAGAAACCCCGTTTGCAACGAAGGCCTCAAAGAGGTCCAAATATCCACTTGCAGACATAACAAGCAGAGTGTTTCTAAACTGCTCTAAGAAAAGAAAGGTTAAACTCTGTGAGTTGAAGGCACACATCACAAAGTAGTTTCTGAGAATGATTCTGTCTAGTTTTTATTTGAAGATATTTCCTTTTCTACTGTTGGCATCAAATCGCTTGAAATCTCCACTTGCAAATTCCACAAAAAGAGTGTTTCAAATCTGCTCTGTGCAAAGGGACGTTCCACTCTGTGAGTTGAATACACACAGCACAAAGAAGTTACTGAGAATTCTTCTGTCTAGCATGAAATGAAGAAATCCCGTTTCCAACGAAGGCCTCAATGCGGTCCATATATCCACTTGCAGACTTTACAAACAGAGTGTTTCCAAACTGCTCTATGAAAAGAAAGGTTAAACTATGTGAGTTGAACGCACACATCACAAAGAATTTTCTGAGAATGATTCTGTCTGGTTTTTATTTGAAGATATTTCCCTTTCTACTGTTGGCATCAAATGGCTAGAAATCTCCACTTGCAAATTCCGCAAAAAGAGTGTTTCAAATCTGCTCTGTCTAAAGGGACGTTCCACTCTGTGAGTTGAATGCACACAACACAAAGAATTTACTGAGAATTCTTCCGTCTAGCATTCAATGAAGAAATCCCGTTTCCAACGAAGGCCTCAAACAGGTCCATATATCCACTTGCAGACTTTACAAACAGTGTGTTTCCAAACTCCTCTATGAAAAGAAAGGTTAAACTCTGTGAGTGGAACGCACACATCACAAAGCACTTTCTGAGAATGATTCTGTCTGGTTATTATACGAAGATATTTCCTTTTCTGCAATTGTCCTCAAATCGCTTGAAATCTCCACCTGAAAATGCCACAGCAAGAGTGTTTCAAATCTGCTCTCTCTAAAGCAAGGTTCAACTCTGTGAGTTGAATACACACAACACAAAAAAGTTACTGAGAACTCTTCTTAGTCTAGCATGAAAGGAAGAAACCCCGTTTGCAACGAAGGCCTCAAAGAAGGTCCAAATATCCACTTGCAGACATAACAAGCAGAGTGTTTCTAAACTGCTCTAAGAAAAGAAAGGTTAAACTCTGTGAGTTGAAGGCAGACATCACAAAGTAGTTTCTGAGAATGATTCTGTCTAGTTTTTATTTGAAGATATTTCCTTTCCTACTGTTGGCATCAAATCGCTTGAAATCTCCACTTGCAAACTCCACAAAAAGAGTGTTTCAAATCTGCTCTGTGCAAAGGGACGTTCCACTCTGTGAGTTGAATACACACAGCACAAGGAAGTTACTGAGAATTCTTCTGTCTAGCATGAAATGAAGAAATCCCGTTTCCAACGAAGGCCTCAATGCGGTCCATATATCCACTTGCAGACTTTACAAACAGAGTGTTTCCAAACTGCTCTATGAAAAGAAAGGTTAAACTATGTGAGTTGAACGCACACATCACAAAGAATTTTCTGAGAATGATTCTGTCTGGTTTTTATTTGAAGATATTTCCCTTTCTACTGTTGGCATCAAATGGCTAGAAATCTCCACTTGCAAATTCCGCAAAAAGAGTGTTTCAAATCTGCTCTGTCTAAAGGGACGTTCCACTCTGTGAGTTGAATGCACACCACACAAAGAATTTACTGAGAATTCTTCCGTCTAGCATTCAATGAAGAAATCCCGTTTCCAACGAAGGCCTCAAACAGGTCCATATATCCAATTGCAGACTTTACAAACAGTGTGTTTCCAAACTCCTCTATGAAAAGAAAGGTTAAACTCTGTGAGTTGAACGCACACATCACAAAGCACTTTCTGAGAATGATTCTGTCTGGTTGTTATACGAAGATATTTCCTTTTCTGCAATTGTCCTCAAATCGCTTGAAATCTCCACCTGAAAATGCCACAGCAAGAGTGTTTCAAATCTGCTCTCTCTAAAGCAAGGTTCAACTCTGTGAGTTGAATACACACAACACAAAAAAGTTACTGAGAACTCTTCTTAGTCTAGCATGAAAGGAAGAAACCCCGTTTGCAACGAAGGCCTCAAAGAGGTCCAAATATCCACTTGCAGACATAACAAGCAGAGTGTTTCTAAACTGCTCTAAGAAAAGAAAGGTTAAACTCTGTGAGTTGAAGGCACACATCACAAAGTAGTTTCTGAGAATGATTCTGTCTAGTTTTTATTTGAAGATATTTCCTTTTCTACTGTTGGCATCAAATCGCTTGAAATCTCCACTTGCAAACTCCACAAAAAGAGTGTTTCAAATCTGCTCTGTGCAAAGGGACGTTCCACTCTGTGAGTTGAATACACACAGCACAAAGAAGTTACTGAGAATTCTTCTGTCTAGCATGAAATGAAGAAATCCCGTTTCCAACGAAGGCCTCAATGCGGTCCATATATCCACTTGCAGACTTTACAAACAGAGTGTTTCCAAACTGCTCTATGAAAAGAAAGGTTAAACTATGTGAGTTGAACGCACACATCACAAAGAATTTTCTGAGAATGATTCTGTCTGGTTTTTATTTGAAGATATTTCCCTTTCTACTGTTGGCATCAAATGGCTAGAAATCTCCACTTGCAAATTCCGCAAAAAGAGTGTTTCAAATCTGCTCTGTCTAAAGGGACGTTCCACTCTGTGAGTTGAATGCACACAACACAAAGAATTTACTGAGAATTCTTCCGTCTAGCATTCAATGAAGAAATCCCGTTTCCAACGAAGGCCTCAAACAGGTCCATATATCCACTTGCAGACTTTACAAACAGTGTGTTTCCAAACTCCTCTATGAAAAGAAAGGTTAAACTCTGTGAGTGGAACGCACACATCACAAAGCACTTTCTGAGAATGATTCTGTCTGGTTATTATACGAAGATATTTCCTTTTCTGCAATTGTCCTCAAATCGCTTGAAATCTCCACCTGAAAATGCCACAGCAAGAGTGTTTCAAATCTGCTCTCTCTAAAGCAAGGTTCAACTCTGTGAGTTGAATACACACAACACAAAAAAGTTACTGAGAACTCTTCTTAGTCTAGCATGAAAGGAAGAAACCCCGTTTGCAACGAAGGCCTCAAAGAGGTCCAAATATCCACTTGCAGACATAACAAGCAGAGTGTTTCTAAACTGCTCTAAGAAAAGAAAGGTTAAACTCTGTGAGTTGAAGGCACACATCACAAAGTAGTTTCTGAGAATGATTCTGTCTAGTTTTTATTTGAAGATATTTCCTTTTCTACTGTTGGCATCAGATCGCTTGAAATCTCCACTTGCAAATTCCACAAAAAGAGTGTTTCAAATCTGCTCTGTGCAAAGGGACGTTCCACTCTGTGAGTTCAATACACACAGCACAAAGAAGTTACTGAGAATTCTTCTGTCTAGCATGAAATGAAGAAATCCCGTTTCCAACGAAGGCCTCAATGCGGTCCATATATCCACTTGCAGACTTTACAAACAGAGTGTTTCCAAACTGCTCTATGAAAAGAAAGGTTAAACTATGTGAGTTGAAAGCACACATCACAAAGAATTTTCTGAGAATGATTCTGTCTGGTTTTTATTTGAAGATATTTCCCTTTCTACTGTTGGCATCAAATGGCTAGAAATCTCCACTTGCAAATTCCGCAAAAAGAGTGTTTCAAATCTGCTCTGTCTAAAGGGACGTTCCACTCTGTGAGTTGAATGCACACAACACAAAGAATTTACTGAGAATTCTTCCGTCTAGCATTCAATGAAGAAATCCCGTTTCCAACGAAGGCCTCAAACAGGTCCATATATCCAATTGCAGACTTTACAAACAGTGTGTTTCCAAACTCCTCTATGAAAAGAAAGGTTAAACTCTGTGAGTTGAACGCACACATCACAAAGCACTTTCTGAGAATGATTCTGTCTGGTTATTATACGAAGATATTTCCTTTTCTGCAATTGTCCTCAAATCGCTTGAAATCTCCACCTGAAAATGCCACAGCAAGAGTGTTTCAAATCTGCTCTCTCTAAAGCAAGGTTCAACTCTGTGAGTTGAATACACACAACACAAAAAAGTTACTGAGAACTCTTCTTAGTCTAGCATGAAAGGAAGAAACCCCGTTTGCAACGAAGGCCTCAAAGAGGTCCAAATATCCACTTGCAGACATAACAAGCAGAGTGTTTCTAAACTGCTCTAAGAAAAGAAAGGTTAAACTCTGTGAGTTGAAGGCACACATCACAAAGTAGTTTCTGAGAATGATTCTGTCTAGTTTTTATTTGAAGATATTTCCTTTTCTACTGGTGGCATCAAATCGCTTGAAATCTCCACTTGCAAATTCCACAAAAAGAGTGTTTCAAATCTGCTCTGTGCAAAGGGACGTTCCACTCTGTGAGTTGAATACACACAGCACAAAGAAGTTACTGAGAATTCTTCTGTCTAGCATGAAATGAAGAAATCCCGTTTCCAACGAAGGCCTCAATGCGGTCCATATATCCACTTGCAGACTTTACAAACAGAGTGTTTCCAAACTGCTCTATGAAAAGAAAGGTTAAACTATGTGAGTTGAACGCACACATCACAAAGAATTTTCTGAGAATGATTCTGTCTGGTTTTTATTTGAAGATATTTCCCTTTCTACTGTTGGCATCAAATGGCTAGAAATCTCCACTTGCAAATTCCGCAAAAAGAGTGTTTCAAATCTGCTCTGTCTAAAGGGACGTTCCACTCTGTCAGTTGAATGCACACAACACAAAGAATTTACTGAGAATTCTTCTGTCTAGCATTCAATGAAGAAATCCCGTTTCCAACGAATGCCTCAAAGCGGTCCATATATCCACTTGCAGACTTTACAAACAGTGTGTTTCCAAACTCCTCTATGAAAAGAAAGGTTAAACTCTGTGAGTTGAACGCACACATCACAAAGCACTTTCTGAGAATGATTCTTTCTGGTTATTATACGAAGATATTTCCTTTTCTGCAATTGTCCTCAAATCGCTTGAAATCTCCACCTGAAAATGTCACAGCAAGAGTGTTTCAAATCTGCTCTCTCTAAAGCAAGGTTCAACTCTGTGAGTTGAATACACACAACACAAAAAAGTTACTGAGAACTCTTCTTAGTCTAGCATGAAAGGAAGAAACCCCGTTTGCAACGAAGGCCTCAAAGAGGTCCAAATATCCACTTGCAGACATAACAAGCAGAGTGTTTCTAAACTGCTCTAAGAAAAGAAAGGTTAAACTCTGTGAGTTGAACGCACACATCACAAAGTAGTTTCTGAGAATGATTCTGTCTAGTTTTTATTTGAAGATATTTCCTTTTCTACTGTTGGCATCAAATCGCTTGAAATCTCCACTTGCAAACTCCACAAAAAGAGTGTTTCAAATCTGCTCTGTGCAAAGGGACGTTCCACTCTGTGAGTTGAATACACACAGCACAAAGAAGTTACTGAGAATTCTTCTGTCTAGCATGAAATGAAGAAATCCCGTTTCCAACGAAGGCCTCAATGCGGTCCATATATCCACTTGCAGACTTTACAAACAGAGTGTTTCCAAACTGCTCTATGAAAAGAAAGGTAAAACTATGTGAGTTGAACGCACACATCACAAAGAATTTTCTGAGAATGATTCTGTCTGGTTTTTATTTGAAGATATTTCCCTTTCTACTGTTGGCATCAAATGGCTAGAAATCTCCACTTGCAAATTCCGCAAAAAGAGTGTTTCAAATCTGCTCTGTCTAAAGGGACGTTCCACTCTGTGAGTTGAATGCACACAACACAAAGAATTTACTGAGAATTCTTCCGTCTAGCATTCAATGAAGAAATCCCGTTTCCAACGAAGGCCTCAAACAGGTCCATATATCCAATTGCAGACTTTACAAACAGTGTGTTTCCAAACTCCTCTATGAAAAGAAAGGTTAAACTCTGTGAGTTGAACGCACACATCACAAAGCACTTTCTGAGAATGATTCTGTCTGGTTATTATACGAAGATATTTCCTTTTCTGCAATTGTCCTCAAATCGCTTGAAATCTCCACCTGAAAATGCCACAGCAAGAGTGTTTCAAATCTGCTCTCTCTAAAGCAAGGTTCAACTCTGTGAGTTGAATACACACAACACAAAAAAGTTACTGAGAACTCTTCTTAGTCTAGCATGAAAGGAAGAAACCCCGTTTGCAACGAAGGCCTCAAAGAGGTCCAAATATCCACTTGCAGACATAACAAGCAGAGTGTTTCTAAACTGCTCTAAGAAAAGAAAGGTTAAACTCTGTGAGTTGAAGGCACACATCACAAAGTAGTTTCTGAGAATGATTCTGTCTAGTTTTTATTTGAAGATATTTCCTTTTCTACTGTTGGCATCAAATCGCTTGAAATCTCCACTTGCAAACTCCACAAAAAGAGTGTTTCAAATCTGCTCTGTGCAAAGGGACGTTCCACTCTGTGAGTTGAATACACACAGCACAAAGAAGTTACTGAGAATTCTTCTGTCTAGCATGAAATGAAGAAATCCCGTTTCCAACGAAGGCCTCAATGCGGTCCATATATCCACTTGCAGACTTTACAAACAGAGTGTTTCCAAACTGCTCTATGAAAAGAAAGGTTAAACTATGTGAGTTGAACGCACACATCACAAAGAATTTTCTGAGAATGATTCTGTCTGGTTTTTATTTGAAGATATTTCCCTTTCTACTGTTGGCATCAAATGGCTAGAAATCTCCACTTGCAAATTCCGCAAAAAGAGTGTTTCAAATCTGCTCTGTCTAAAGGGACGTTCCACTCTGTGAGTTGAATGCACACAACACAAAGAATTTACTGAGAATTCTTCCGTCTAGCATTCAATGAAGAAATCCCGTTTCCAACGAAGGCCTCAAACAGGTCCATATATCCACTTGCAGACTTTACAAACAGTGTGTTTCCAAACTCCTCTATGAAAAGAAAGGTTAAACTCTGTGAGTTGAACGCACACATCACAAAGCACTTTCTGAGAATGATTCTGTCTGGTTATTATACGAAGATATTTCCTTTTCTGCAATTGTCCTCAAATCGCTTGAAATCTCCACCTGAAAATGCCACAGCAAGAGTGTTTCAAATCTGCTCTCTCTAAAGCAAGGTTCAACTCTGTGAGTTGAATACACACAACACAAAAAAGTTACTGAGAACTCTTCTTAGTCTAGCATGAAAGGAAGAAACCCCGTTTGCAACGAAGGCCTCAAAGAGGTCCAAATATCCACTTGCAGACATAACAAGCAGAGTGTTTCTAAACTGCTCTAAGAAAAGAAAGGTTAAACTCTGTGAGTTGAAGGCACACATCACAAAGTAGTTTCTGAGAATGATTCTGTCTAGTTTTTATTTGAAGATATTTCCTTTTCTACTGTTGGCATCAAATCGCTTGAAATCTCCACTTGCAAACTCCACAAAAAGAGTGTTTCAAATCTGCTCTGTGTAAAGGGACGTTCCACTCTGTGAGTTGAATACACACAGCACAAAGAAGTTACTGAGAATTCTTCTGTCTAGCATGAAATGAAGAAATCCCGTTTCCAACGAAGGCCTCAATGCGGTCCATATATCCACTTGCAGACTTTACAAACAGAGTGTTTCCAAACTGCTCTATGAAAAGAAAGGTTAAACTATGTGAGTTGAACGCACACATCACAAAGAATTTTCTGAGAATGATTCTGTCTGGTTTTTATTTGAAGATATTTCCCTTTCTACTGTTGGCATCAAATGGCTAGAAATCTCCACTTGCAAATTCCGCAAAAAGAGTGTTTCAAATCTGCTCTGTCTAAAGGGACGTTCCACTCTGTGAGTTGAATGCACACAACACAAAGAATTTACTGAGAATTCTTCCGTCTAGCATTCAATGAAGAAATCCCGTTTCCAACGAAGGCCTCAAACAGGTCCATATATCCACTTGCAGACTTTACAAACAGTGTGTTTCCAAACTCCTCTATGGAAAGAAAAGTTAAACTCTGTGAGTTGAACGCACACATCACAAAGCACTTTCTGAGAATGATTCTGTCTGGTTATTATACGAAGATATTTCCTTTTCTGCAATTGTCCTCAAATCGCTTGAAATCTCCACCTGAAAATGCCACAGCAAGAGTGTTTCAAATCTGCTCTCTCT
Source organism: Homo sapiens (assembly GCF_000001405.40). Classification (NCBI taxonomy): domain Eukaryota; kingdom Metazoa; phylum Chordata; class Mammalia; order Primates; family Hominidae; genus Homo; species Homo sapiens. The sequence goes on along the minus strand of NC_000007.14, from coordinate 60,598,654 downwards.
AAAGCAAGGTTCAACTCTGTGAGTTGAATACACACAACACAAAAAAGTTACTGAGAACTCTTCTTAGTCTAGCATTAAAGGAAGAAACCCCGTTTGCAACGAAGGCCTCAAAGAGGTCCAAATATCCACTTGCAGACATAACAAGCAGAGTGTTTCTAAACTGCTCTAAGAAAAGAAAGGTTAAACTCTGTGAGTTGAAGGCACACATCACAAAGTAGTTTCTGAGAATGATTCTGTCTAGTTTTTATTTGAAGATATTTCCTTTTCTACTGTTGGCATCAAATCGCTTGAAATCTCCACTTGCAAATTCCACAAAAAGAGTGTTTCAAATCTGCTCTGTGCAAAGGGACGTTCCACTCTGTGAGTTGAATACACACAGCACAAAGAAGTTACTGAGAATTCTTCTGTCTAGCATGAAATGAAGAAATCCCGTTTCCAACGAAGGCCTCAATGCGGTCCATATATCCACTTGCAGACTTTACAAACAGAGTGTTTCCAAACTGCTCTATGAAAAGAAAGGTTAAACTATGTGAGTTGAACGCACACATCACAAAGAATTTTCTGAGAATGATTCTGTCTGGTTTTTATTTGAAGATGTTTCCCTTTCTACTGTTGGCATCAAATGGCTAGAAATCTCCACTTGCAAATTCCGCAAAAAGAGTGTTTCAAATCTGCTCTGTCTAAAGGGACGTTCCACTCTGTCAGTTGAATGCACACAACACAAAGAATTTACTGAGAATTCTTCCGTCTAACATTCAATGAAGAAATCCCGTTTCCAACGAAGGCCTCAAACAGGTCCATATATCCAATTGCAGACTTTACAAACAGTGTTTTTCCAAACTCCTCTATGGAAAGAAAGGTTAAACTCTGTGAGTTGAACGCACACATCACAAAGCACTTTACTGAGAATGATTTCTGTCTGGTTATTATACGAAGATATTTCCTTTTCTGCAATTGTCCTCAAATCGCTTGAAATCTCCACCTGAAAATGCCACAGCAAGAGTGTTTCAAATCTGCTCTCTCTAAAGCAAGGTTCAACTCTGTGAGTTGAATACACACAACACAAAAAAGTTACTGAGAACTCTTCTTAGTCTAGCATGAAAGGAAGAAACCCCGTTTGCAACGAAGGCCTCAAAGAGGTCCAAATATCCACTTGCAGACATAACAAGCAGAGTGTTTCTAAACTGCTCTAAGAAAAGAAAGGTTAAACTCTGTGAGTTGAAGGCACACATCACAAAGTAGTTTCTGAGAATGATTCTGTCTAGTTTTTATTTGAAGATATTTCCTTTTCTACTGTTGGCATCAAATCGCTTGAAATCTCCACTTGCAAATTCCACAAAAAGAGTGTTTCAAATCTGCTCTGTGCAAAGGGACGTTCCACTCTGTGAGTTGAATACACACAGCACAAAGAAGTTACTGAGAATTCTTCTGTCTAGCATGAAATGAAGAAATCCCGTTTCCAACGAAGGCCTCAATGCGGTCCATATATCCACTTGCAGACTTTACAAACAGAGTGTTTCCAAACTGCTCTATGAAAAGAAAGGTTAAACTATGTGAGTTGAACGCACACATCACAAAGAATTTTCTGAGAATGATTCTGTCTAGTTTTTATTTGAAGATATTTCCCTTTCTACTGTTGGCATCAAATGGCTAGAAATCTCCACTTGCAAATTCCGCAAAAAGAGTGTTTCAAATCTGCTCTGTCTAAAGGGACGTTCCACTCTGTGAGTTGAATGCACACAACACAAAGAATTTACTGAGAATTCTTCCGTCTAGCATTCAATGAAGAAATCCCGTTTCCAACGAAGGCCTCAAACAGGTCCATATATCCAATTGCAGACTTTACAAACAGTGTGTTTCCAAACTCCTCTATGAAAAGAAAGGTTAAACTCTGTGAGTTGAACGCACACATCACAAAGCACTTTCTGAGAATGATTCTGTCTGGTTATTATACGAAGATATTTCCTTTTCTGCAATTGTCCTCAAATCGCTTGAAATCTCCACCTGAAAATGCCACAGCAAGAGTGTTTCAAATCTGCTCTCTCTAAAGCAAGGTTCAACTCTGTGAGTTGAATACACACAACACAAAAAAGTTACTGAGAACTCTTCTTAGTCTAGCATGAAAGGAAGAAACCCCGTTTGCAACGAAGGCCTCAAAGAGGTCCAAATATCCACTTGCAGACATAACAAGCAGAGTGTTTCTAAACTGCTCTAAGAAAAGAAAGGTTAAACTCTGTGAGTTGAAGGCACACATCACAAAGTAGTTTCTGAGAATGATTCTGTCTAGTTTTTATTTGAAGATATTTCCTTTTCTACTGTTGGCATCAAATCGCTTGAAATCTCCACTTGCAAACTCCACAAAAAGAGTGTTTCAAATCTGCTCTGTGCAAAGGGACGTTCCACTCTGTGAGTTGAATACACACAGCACAAAGAAGTTACTGAGAATTCTTCTGTCTAGCATGAAATGAAGAAATCCCGTTTCCAACGAAGGCCTCAATGCGGTCCATATATCCACTTGCAGACTTTACAAACAGAGTGTTTCCAAACTGCTCTATGAAAAGAAAGGTTAAACTATGTGAGTTGAACGCACACATCACAAAGAATTTTCTGAGAATGATTCTGTCTGGTTTTTATTTGAAGATATTTCCCTTTCTACTGTTGGCATCAAATGGCTAGAAATCTCCACTTGCAAATTCCGCAAAAAGAGTGTTTCAAATCTGCTCTGTCTAAAGGGACGTTCCACTCTGTGAGTTGAATGCACACAACACAAAGAATTTACTGAGAATTCTTCCGTCTAGCATTCAATGAAGAAATCCCGTTTCCAACGAAGGCCTCAAACAGGTCCATAAATCCACTTGCAGAATTTACAAACAGTGTGTTTCCAAACTCCTCTATGAAAAAAAAGGTTAAACTCTGTGAGTGGAACGCACACATCACAAAGCACTTTCTGAGAATGATTCTGTCTGGTTGTTATACGAAGATATTTCCTTTTCTGCAATTGTCCTCAAATCGCTTGAAATCTCCACCTGAAAATGCCACAGCAAGAGTGTTTCAAATCTGCTCTCTCTAAAGCAAGGTTCAACTCTGTGAGTTGAATACACACAACACAAAAAAGTTACTGAGAACTCTTCTTAGTCTAGCATGAAAGGAAGAAACCCCGTTTGCAACGAAGGCCTCAAAGAGGTCCAAATATCCACTTGCAGACATAACAAGCAGAGTGTTTCTAAACTGCTCTAAGAAAAGAAAGGTTAAACTCTGTGAGTTGAAGGCACACATCACAAGGTAGTTTCTGAGAATGATTCTGTCTAGTTTTTATTTGAAGATATTTCCTTTTCTACTGTTGGCATCAAATCGCTTGAAATCTCCTCTTGCAAACTCCACAAAAAGAGTGTTTCAAATCTGCTCTGTGTAAAGGGACGTTCCACTCTGTGAGTTGAATACACACAGCACAAAGAAGTTACTGAGAATTCTTCTGTCTAGCATGAAATGAAGAAATCCCGTTTCCAACGAAGGCCTCAATGCGGTCCATATATCCACTTGCAGACTTTACAAACAGAGTGTTTCCAAACTGCTCTATGAAAAGAAAGGTTAAACTATGTGAGTTGAACGCACACATCACAAAGAATTTTCTGAGAATGATTCTGTCTGGTTTTTATTTGAAGATATTTCCCTTTCTACTGTTGGCATCAAATGGCTAGAAATCTCCACTTGCAAATTCCGCAAAAAGAGTGTTTCAAATCTGCTCTGTCTAAAGGGACGTTCCACTCTGTGAGTTGAATGCACACAACACAAAGAATTTACTGAGAATTCTTCCGTCTAGCATTCAATGAAGAAATCCCGTTTCCAACCAAGGCCTCAAACAGGTCCATATATCCAATTGCAGACTTTACAAACAGTGTGTTTCCAAACTCCTCTATGAAAAGAAAGGTTAAACTCTGTGAGTTGAACGCACACATCACAAAGCACTTTCTGAGAATGATTCTGTCTGGTTATTATACGAAGATATTTCCTTTTCTGCAATTGTCCTCAAATCGCTTGAAATCTCCACCTGAAAATGCCACAGCAAGAGTGTTTCAAATCTGCTCTCTCTAAAGCAAGGTTCAACTCTGTGAGTTGAATACACACAACACAAAAAAGTTACTGAGAACTCTTCTTAGTCTACCATTAAAGGAAGAAACCCCGTTTGCAACGAAGGCCTCAAAGAGGTCCAAATATCCACTTGCAGACATAACAAGCAGAGTGTTTCTAAACTGCTCTAAGAAAAGAAAGGTTAAACTCTGTGAGTTGAAGGCACACATCACAAAGTAGTTTCTGAGAATGATTCTGTCTAGTTTTTATTTGAAGATACTTCCTTTTCTACTGTTGGCATCAAATCGCTTGAAATCTCCACTTGCAAACTCCACAAAAAGAGTGTTTCAAATCTGCTCTGTGCAAAGGGACGTTCCACTCTGTGAGTTGAATACACACAGCACAAAGAAGTTACTGAGAATTCTTCTGTCTAGCATGAAATGAAGAAATCCCGTTTCCAACGAAGGCCTCAATGCGGTCCATATATCCACTTGCAGACTTTACAAACAGAGTGTTTCCTAACTGCTCTATGAAAAGAAAGGTTAAACTCTGTGAGTTGGACACACACATCACAAAGGAGTTTCTGAGAATCATTCTGTCTGGTTTTTATTTGAAGATATTTCCCTTTCTACTGTTGGCATCAAATGGCTAGAAATCTCCACTTGCAAATTCCGCAAAAAGAGTGTTTCAAATCTGCTCTGTCTAAAGGGACGTTCCACTCTGTGAGTTGAATGCACACAACACAAAGAATTTACTGAGAATTCTTCCGTCTAGCATTCAATGAAGAAATCCCGTTTCCAACGAAGGCCTCAAACAGGTCCATATATCCAATTGCAGACTTTACAAACAGTGTGTTTCCAAACTCCTCTATGAAAAGAAAGGTTAAACTCTGTGAGTTGAACGCACACATCACAAAGCACTCTCTGAGAATGATTCTGTCTGGTTATTATACGAAGATATTTCCTTTTCTGCAATTGTCCTCAAATCGCTTGAAATCTCCACCTGAAAATTCCACAGCGAGAGTGTTTCAAATCTGCTCTCTCTAAAGCAAGGTTCAACTCTGTGAGTTGAATACACACAACACAAAAAAGTTACTGAGAACTCTTCTTAGTCTAGCATGAAAGGAAGAAACCCCGTTTGCAACGAAGGCCTCAAAGAGGTCCAAATATCCACTTGCAGACATAACAAGCAGAGTGTTTCTAAACTGCTCTAAGAAAAGAAAGGTTAAACTCTGTGAGTTGAAGGCACACATCACAAAGTAGTTTCTGAGAATGATTCTGTCTAGTTTTTATTTGAAGATATTTCCTTTTCTACTGTTGGCATCAAATCGCTTGAAATCTCCACTTGCAAATTCCACAAAAAGAGTGTTTCAAATCTGCTCTGTGCAAAGGGACGTTCCACTCTGTGAGTTGAATACACACAGCACAAAGAAGTTACTGAGAATTCTTCTGTCTAGCATGAAATGAAGAAATCCCGTTTCCAACGAAGGCCTCAATGCGGTCCATAGATCCACTTGCAGACTTTACAAACAGAGTGTTTCCAAACTGCTCTATGAAAAGAAAGGTTAAACTATGTGAGTTGAACGCACACATCACAAAGAATTTTCTGAGAATGATTCTGTCTGGTTTTTATTTGAAGATATTTCCCTTTCTACTGTTGGCATCAAATGGCTAGAAATCTCCACTTGCAAATTCCGCAAAAAGAGTGTTTCAAATCTGCTCTGTCTAAAGGGACGTTCCACTCTGTCAGTTGAATGCACACAACACAAAGAATTTACTGAGAATTCTTCCGTCTAGCATTCAATGAAGAAATCCCGTTTCCAACGAAGGCCTCAAACAGGTCCATATATCCACTTGCAGAGTTTACAAACAGTGTGTTTCCAAACTCCTCTATGAAAAGAAAGGTTAAACTCTGTGAGTGGAACGCACACATCACAAAGCACTTTCTGAGAATGATTCTGTCTGGTTGTTATACGAAGATATTTCCTTTTCTGCAATTGTCCTCAAATCGCTTGAAATCTCCACCTGAAAATGCCACAGCAAGAGTGTTTCAAATCTGCTCTCTCTAAAGCAAGGTTCAACTCTGTGAGTTGAATGCACACAACACAAAAAAGTTACTGAGAACTCTTCTTAGTCTAGCATTAAAGGAAGAAACCCCGTTTGCAACGAAGGCCTCAAAGAGGTCCAAATATCCACTTGCAGACATAACAAGCAGAGTGTTTCTAAACTGCTCTAAGAAAAGAAAGGTTAAACTCTGTGAGTTGAAGGCACACATCACAAAGTAGTTTCTGAGAATGATTCTGTCTAGTTTTTATTTGAAGATATTTCCTTTTCTACTGTTGGCATCAAATCGCTTGAAATCTCCACTTGCAAACTCCACAAAAAGAGTGTTTCAAATCTGCTCTGTGCAAAGGGACGTTCCACTCTGTGAGTTGAATACACACAGCACAAAGAAGTTACTGAGAATTCTTCTGTCTAGCATGAAATGAAGAAATCCCGTTTCCAACGAAGGCCTCAATGCGGTCCATAGATCCACTTGCAGACTTTACAAACAGAGTGTTTCCAAACTGCTCTATGAAAAGAAAGGTTAAACTATGTGAGTTGAACGCACACATCACAAAGAATTTTCTGAGAATGATTCTGTCTGGTTTTTATTTGAAGATATTTCCCTTTCTACTGTTGACATCAAATGGCTAGAAATCTCCACTTGCAAATTCCGCAAAAAGAGTGTTTCAAATCTGCTCTGTCTAAAGGGACGTTCCACTCTGTAAGTTCAATGCACACAACACAAAGAATTTACTGAGAATTCTTCCGTCTAGCATTCAATGAAGAAATCCCGTTTCCAACGGAGGCCTCAAACAGGTCTGTATATCCAATTGCAGACTTTACAAACAGTGTGTTTCCAAGCTCTTCTATGAAAAGAAAGGTTAAACTCTGTGAGTTGAACGCACACATCACAAAGCACTTTCTGAGAATGATTCTGTCTGTTTATTATACGAAGATATTTCCTTTTGTGCAATTGTCCTCAAATCGCTAGAAATCTCCACCTGAAAATGCCACAGCAAGAGTGTTTCAAATCTGCTCTCTCTAAAGCAAGGTTCAACTCTGTGAGTTGAATACACACAACACAAAAAAGTTACTGAGAACTCTTCTTAGTCTAGCATGAAAGGAAGAAACCCCGTTTGCAACGAAGGCCTCAAAGAGGTCCAAATATCCACTTGCAGACATAACAAGCAGAGTGTTTCTAAACTGCTCTAAGAAAAGAAAGGTTGAACTCTGTGAGTTGAAGGCACACATCACAAAGTAGTTTCTGAGAATGATTCTGTCTAGTTTTTATTTGAAGATATTTCCTTTTCTACTGTTGGCATCAAATCGCTTGAAATCTCCACTTGCAAACTCCACAAAAAGAGTGTTTCAAATCTGCTCTGTGCAAAGGGACGTTCCACTCTGTGAGTTGAATACACACAGCACAAAGAAGTTACTGAGAATTCTTCTGTCTAGCATGAAATGAAGAAATCCCGTTTCCAACGAAGGCCTCAATGCGGTCCATAGATCCACTTGCAGACTTTACAAACAGAGTGTTTCCAAACTGCTCTATGAAAAGAAAGGTTAAACTATGTGAGTTGAACGCACACATCACAAAGAATTTTCTGAGAATGATCTGTCTGGTTTTTATTTGAAGATATTTCCCTTTCTACTGTTGGCATCAAATGGCTAGAAATCTCCACTTGCAAATTCCGCAAAAAGAGTGTTTCAAATCTGCTCTGTCTAAAGGGACGTTCCACTCTGTCAGTTGAATGCACACAACACAAAGAATTTACTGAGAATTCTTTCCGTCTAGCATTCAATGAAGAAATCCCGTTTCCAACGAAGGCCTCAAACAGGTCCATATATCCACTTGCAGACTTTACAAACAGTGTGTTTCCAAACTCCTCTATGAAAAGAAAGGTTAAACTCTGTGAGTGGAACGCACACATCACAAAGCACTTTCTGAGAATGATTCTGTCTGGTTATTATACGAAGATATTTCCTTTTCTGCAATTGTCCTCAAATCGCTTGAAATCTCCACCTGAAAATGCCACAGCAAGAGTGTTTCAAATCTGCTCTCTCTAAAGCAAGGTTCAACTCTGTGAGTTGAATACACACAACACAAAAAAGTTACTGAGAACTCTTCTTAGTCTAGCATTAAAGGAAGAAACGCCGTTTGCAACGAAGGCCTCAAAGAGGTCCAAATATCCACTTGCAGACATAACAACCAGAGTGTTTCTAAACTGCTCTAAGAAAAGAAAGGTTAAACTCTGTGAGTTGAAGGCACACATCACAAAGTAGTTTCTGAGAATGATTCTGTCTAGTTTTTATTTGAAGATATTTCCTTTTCTACTGTTGGCATCAAATCGCTTGAAATCTCCACTTGCAAATTCCACAAAAAGAGTGTTTCAAATCTGCTCTGTGCAAAGGGACGTTCCACTGTGTGAGTTGAATACACACAGCACAAAGAAGTTACTGAGAATTGTTCTGTCTAGCATGAAATGAAGAAATCCCGTTTCCAACGAAGGCCTCAATGCGGTCCATATATCCACTTGCAGACTTTACAAACAGAGTGTTTCCAAACTGCTCTATGAAAAGAAAGGTTAAACTATGTGAGTTGAACGCACACATCACAAAGAATTTTCTGAGAATGATTCTGTCTGGTTTTTATTTGAAGATATTTCCCTTTCTACTGTTGGCATCAAATGGCTAGAAATCTCCACTTGCAAATTCCGCAAAAAGAGTGTTTCAAATCTGCTCTGTCTAAAGGGACGTTCCACTCTGTGAGTTGAATGCACACAACACAAAGAATTTACTGAGAATTCTTCCGTCTAGCATTCAATGAAGAAATCCCGTTTCCAACGAAGGCCTCAAACAGGTCCATATATCCACTTGCAGACTTTACAAACAGTGTGTTTCCAAACTCCTCTATGAAAAGAAAGGTTAAACTCTGTGAGTGGAACGCACACATCACAAAGCACTTTCTGAGAATGATTCTGTCTGGTTATTATACGAAGATATTTCCTTTTCTGCAATTGTCCTCAAATCGCTTGAAATCTCCACCTGAAAATGCCACAGCAAGAGTGTTTCAAATCTGCTCTCTCTAAAGCAAGGTTCAACTCTGTGAGTTGAATACACACAACACAAAAAAGTTACTGAGAACTCTTCTTAGTCTAGCATGAAAGGAAGAAACCCCGTTTGCAACGAAGGCCTCAAAGAGGTCCAAATATCCACTTGCAGACATAACAAGCAGAGTGTTTCTAAACTGCTCTAAGAAAAGAAAGGTTAAACTCTGTGAGTTGAAGGCACACATCACAAAGTAGTTTCTGAGAATGATTCTGTCTAGTTTTTATTTGAAGATATTTCCTTTTCTACTATTGGCATCAAATCGCTTGAAATCTCCACTTGCAAACTCCACAAAAAGAGTGTTTCAAATCTGCTCTGTGCAAAGGGACGTTCCACTCTGTGAGTTGAATACACACAGCACAAAGAAGTTACTGAGAATTCTTCTGTCTAGCATGAAATGAAGAAATCCCGTTTCCAACGAAGGCCTCAATGCGGTCCATATATCCACTTGCAGACTTTACAAACAGAGTGTTTCCAAACTGCTCTATGAAAAGAAAGGTTAAACTATGTGAGTTGAACGCACACATCACAAAGAATTTTCTGAGAATGATTCTGTCTGGTTTTTATTTGAAGATATTTCCCTTTCTACTGTTGGCATCAAATGGCTAGAAATCTCCACTTGCAAATTCCGCAAAAAGAGTGTTTCAAATCTGCTCTGTCTAAAGGGACGTTCCACTCTGTGAGTTGAATGCACACAACACAAAGAATTTACTGAGAATTCTTCCGTCTAGCATTCAATGAAGAAATCCCGTTTCCAACGAAGGCCTCAAACAGGTCCATATATCCACTTGCAGAGTTTACAAACAGTGTGTTTCCAAACTCCTCTATGAAAAGAAAGGTTAAACTCTGTGAGTGGAACGCACACATCACAAAGCACTTTCTGAGAATGATTCTGTCTGGTTATTATACGAAGATATTTCCTTTTCTGCAATTGTCCTCAAAACGCTTGAAATCTCCACCTGAAAATGCCACAGCAAGAGTGTTTCAAATCTGCTCTCTCTAAAGAAAGGTTCAACTCTGTGAGTTGAATACACACAACACAAAAAAGTTACTGAGAACTCTTCTTAGTCTAGCATTAAAGGAAGAAACCCCGTTTGCAACGAAGGCCTCAAAGAGGTCCAAATATCCACTTGCAGACATAACAAGCAGAGTGTTTCTAAACTGCTCTAAGAAAAGAAAGGTTAAACTCTGTGAGTTGAAGGCACACATCACAAAGTAGTTTCTGAGAATGATTCTGTCTAGTTTTTATTTGAAGATATTTCCTTTTCTACTGTTGGCATCAAATCGCTTGAAATCTCCACTTGCAAACTCCACAAAAAGAGTGTTTCAAATCTGCTCTGTGTAAAGGGACGTTCCACTCTGTGAGTTGAATACACACAGCACAAAGAAGTTACTGAGAATTCTTCTGTCTAGCATGAAATGAAGAAATCCCGTTTCCAACGAAGGCCTCAATGCGGTCCATATATCCACTTGCAGACTTTACAAACAGAGTGTTTCCAAACTGCTCCATGAAAAGAAAGGTTAAACTATGTGAGTTGAACGCACACATCACAAAGAATTTTCTGAGAATGATTCTGTCTGGTTTTTATTTGAAGATATTTCCCTTTCTACTGTTGGCATCAAATGGCTAGAAATCTCCACTTGCAAATTCCGCAAAAAGAGTGTTTCAAATCTGCTCTGTCTAAAGGGACGTTCCACTCTGTGAGTTGAATGCACACAACACAAAGAATTTACTGAGAATTCTTCCGTCTAGCATTCAATGAAGAAATCCCGTTTCCAACGAAGGCCTCAAACAGGTCCATATATCCAATTGCAGACTTTACAAACAGTGTGTTTCCAAACTCCTCTATGAAAAGAAAAGTTAAACTCTGTGAGTTGAACGCACACATCACAAAGCACTTTCTGAGAATGATTCTGTCTGGTTATTATACGAAGATATTTCCTTTTCTGCAATTGTCCTCAAATCGCTTGAAATCTCCACCTGAAAATGCCACAGCAAGAGTGTTTCAAATCTGCTCTCTCTAAAGCAAGGTTCAACTCTGTGAGTTGAATACACACAACACAAAAAAGTTACTGAGAACTCTTCTTAGTCTAGCATGAAAGGAAGAAACCCCGTTTGCAACGAAGGCCTCAAAGAGGTCCAAATATCCACTTGCAGACATAACAAGCAGAGTGTTTCTAAACTGCTCTAAGAAAAGAAAGGTTAAACTCTGTGAGTTGAAGGCACACATCACAAAGTAGTTTCTGAGAATGATTCTGTCTAGTTTTTATTTGAAGATATTTCCTTTTCTACTGTTGGCATCAATTCGCTTGAAATCTCCACTTGCAAACTCCACAAAAAGAGTGTTTCAAATCTGCTCTGTGTAAAGGGACGTTCCACTCTGTGAGTTGAATACACACAGCACAAAGAAGTTACTGAGAATTCTTCTGTCTAGCATGAAATGAAGAAATCCCGTTTCCAACGAAGGCCTCAATGCGGTCCATATATCCACTTGCAGACTTTACAAACAGAGTGTTTCCAAACTGCTCTATGAAAAGAAAGGTTAAACTATGTGAGTTGAACGCACACATCACAAAGAATTTTCTGAGAATGATTCTGTCTGGTTTTTATTTGAAGATATTTCCCTTTCTACTGTTGGCATCAAATGGCTAGAAATCTCCACTTGCAAATTCCGCAAAAAGAGTGTTTCAAATCTGCTCTGTCTAAAGGGACGTTCCACTCTGTGAGTTGAATGCACACAACACAAAGAATTTACTGAGAATTCTTCCGTCTAGCATTCAATGAAGAAATCCCGTTTCCAACGAAGGCCTCAAACAGGTCCATATATCCACTTGCAGACTTTACAAACAGTGTGTTTCCAAACTCCTCTATGAAAAGAAAGGTTAAACTCTGTGAGTGGAACGCACACATCACAAAGCACTTTCTGAGAATGATTCTGTCTGGTTATTATACGAAGATATTTCCTTTTCTGCAATTGTCCTCAAATCGCTTGAAATCTCCACCTGAAAATGCCACAGCAAGAGTGTTTCAAATCTGCTCTCTCTAAAGCAAGGTTCAACTCTGTGAGTTGAATACACACAACACAAAAAAGTTACTGAGAACTCTTCTTAGTCTAGCATGAAAGGAAGAAACCCCGTTTGCAACGAAGGCCTCAAAGAGGTCCAAATATCCACTTGCAGACATAACAAGCAGAGTGTTTCTAAACTGCTCTAAGAAAAGAAAGGTTAAACTCTGTGAGTTGAAGGCACACATCACAAAGTAGTTTCTGAGAATGATTCTGTCTAGTTTTTATTTGAAGATATTTCCTTTTCTACTGTTGGCATCAAATCGCTTGAAATCTCCACTTGCAAATTCCACAAAAAGAGTGTTTCAAATCTTCTCTGTGTAAAGGAACGTTCCACTCTGTGAGTTGAATACACACAGCACAAAGAAGTTACTGAGAATTCTTCTGTCTAGCATGAAATGAAGAAATCCCGTTTCCAACGAAGGCCTCAATGCGGTCCATATATCCACTTGCAGACTTTACAAACAGAGTGTTTCCAAACTGCTCTATGAAAAGAAAGGTTAAACTATGTGAGTTGAACGCACACATCACAAAGAATTTTCTGAGAATGATTCTGTCTGGTTTTTATTTGAAGATATTTCCCTTTCTACTGTTGGCATCAAATGGCTAGAAATCTCCACTTGCAAATTCCGCAAAAAGAGTGTTTCAAATCTGCTCTGTCTAAAGGGACGTTCCACTCTGTGAGTTGAATGCACACAACACAAAGAATTTACTGAGAATTCTTCCGTCTAGCATTCAATGAAGAAATCCCGTTTCCAACGAAGGCCTCAAACAGGTCCATATATCCAATTGCAGACTTTACAAACAGTGTGTTTCCAAACTCCTCTATGAAAAGAAAGGTTAAACTCTGTGAGTTGAACGCACACATCACAAAGCACTTTCTGAGAATGATTCTGTCTGGTTATTATACGAAGATATTTCCTTTTCTGCAATTGTCCTTAAATCGCTTGAAATCTCCACGTGAAAATGCCACAGCAAGAGTGTTTCATATCTGCTCTCTCTAAAGCAAGGTTCAACTCTGTGAGTTGAATACACACAACACAAAAAAGTTACTGAGAACTCTTCTTAGTCTAGCATTAAAGGAAGAAACCCCGTTTGCAACGAAGGCCTCAAAGAGGTCCAAATATCCACTTGCAGACATAACAAGCAGAGTGTTTCTAAACTGCTCTAAGAAAAGAAAGGTTAAACTCTGTGAGTTGAAGGCACACATCACAAAGTAGTTTCTGAGAATGATTCTGTCTAGTTTTTATTTGAAGATATTTCCTTTTCTACTGTTGGCATCAAATCGCTTGAAATCTCCACTTGCAAATTCCACAAAAAGAGTGTTTCAAATCTGCTCTGTGCAAAGGGACGTTCCACTCTGTGAGTTGAATACACACAGCACAAAGAAGTTACTGAGAATTCTTCTGTCTAGCATGAAATGAAGAAATCCCGTTTCCAACGAAGGCCTCAATGCGGTCCATATATCCACTTGCAGACTTTACAAACAGAGTGTTTCCAAACTGCTCTATGAAAAGAAAGGTTAAACTATGTGAGTTGAACGCACACATCACAAAGAATTTTCTGAGAATGATTCTGTCTGGTTTTTATTTGAAGATATTTCCCTTTCTACTGTTGGCATCAAATGGCTAGAAATCTCCACTTGCAAATTCCGCAAAAAGAGTGTTTCAAATCTGCTCTGTCTAAAGGGACGTTCCACTCTGTGAGTTGAATGCACACAACACAAAGAATTTACTGAGAATTCTTCCGTCTAGCATTCAATGAAGAAATCCCGTTTCCAACGAAGGCCTCAAACAGGTCCATATATCCAATTGCAGACTTTACAAACAGTGTGTTTCCAAACTCCTCTATGAAAAGAAAGATTAAACTCTGTGAGTTGAACGCACACATCACAAAGCACTTTCTGAGAATGATTCTGTCTGGTTATTATACGAAGATATTTCCTTTTCTGCAATTGTCCTCAAAACGCTTGAAATCTCCACCTGAAAATGCCACAGCAAGAGTGTTTCAAATCTGCTCTCTCTAAAGCAAGGTTCAACTCTGTGAGTTGAATACACACAACACAAAAAAGTTACTGAGAACTCTTCTTAGTCTAGCATGAAAGGAAGAAACCCCGTTTGCAACGAAGGCCTCAAAGAGGTCCAAATATCCACTTGCAGACATAACAAGCAGAGTGTTTCTAAACTGCTCTAAGAAAAGAAAGGTTAAACTCTGTGAGTTGAAGGCACACATCACAAAGTAGTTTCTGAGAATGATTCTGTCTAGTTTTTATTTGAAGATATTTCCTTTTCTACTGTTGGCATCAAATCGCTTGAAATCTCCACTTGCAAACTCCACAAAAAGAGTGTTTCAAATCTGCTCTGTGTAAAGGGACGTTCCACTCTGTGAGTTGAATACACACAGCACAAAGAAGTTACTGAGAATTCTTCTGTCTAGCATGAAATGAAGAAATCCCGTTTCCAACGAAGGCCTCAATGCGGTCCATATATCCACTTGCAGACTTTACAAACAGAGTGTTTCCAAACTGCTCTATGAAAAGAAAGGTTAAACTATGTGAGTTGAACGCACACATCACAAAGAATTTTCTGAGAATGATTCTGTCTGGTTTTTATTTGAAGATATTTCCCTTTCTACTGTTGGCATCAAATGGCTAGAAATCTCCACTTGCAAATTCCGCAAAAAGAGTGTTTCAAATCTGCTCTGTCTAAAGGGACGTTCCACTCTGTGAGTTGAATGCACACAACACAAAGAATTTACTGAGAATTCTTCCGTCTAGCATTCAATGAAGAAATCCCGTTTCCAACGAAGGCCTCAAACAGGTCCATATATCCACTTGCAGACATTACAAACAGTGTGTTTCCAAACTCCTCTATGAAAAGAAAGGTTAAACTCTGTGAGTTGAACGCACACATCACAAAGCACTTTCTGAGAATGATTCTGTCTGGTTATTATACGAAGATATTTCCTTTTCTGCAATTGTCCTCAAATCGCTTGAAATCTCCACCTGAAAATGCCACAGCAAGAGTGTTTCAAATCTGCTCTCTCTAAAGCAAGGTTCAACTCTGTGAGTTGAATACACACAACACAAAAAAGTTACTGAGAACTCTTCTTAGTCTAGCATGAAAGGAAGAAACCCCGTTTGCAACGAAGGCCTCAAAGAGGTCCAAATATCCACTTGCAGACATAACAAGCAGAGTGTTTCTAAACTGCTCTAAGAAAAGAAAGCGTTAAACTCTGTGAGTTAAAGGCACACATCACAAAGTAGTTTGCTGAGAATGATTCTGTCTAGTTTTTATTTGAAGATATTTCCTTTTCTACTGTTGGCATCAAATCGCTTGAAATCTCCACTTGCAAACTCCACAAAAAGAGTGTTTCAAATCTGCTCTGTGCAAAGGGACGTTCCACTCTGTGAGTTGAATACACACAGCACAAAGAAGTTACTGAGAATTCTTCTGTCTAGCATGAAATGAAGAAATCCCGTTTCCAACGAAGGCCTCAATGCGGTCCATATATCCACTTGCAGACTTTACAAACAGAGTGTTTCCAAACTGCTCTATGAAAAGAAAGGTTATACTATTGTGAGTTGAACGCACACATCACAAAGAATTTTCTGAGAATGATTCTGTCTGGTTTTTATTTGAAGATATTTCCCTTTCTACTGTTGGCATCAAATGGCTAGAAATCTCCACTTGCAAATTCCGCAAAAAGAGTGTTTCAAATCTGCTCTGTCTAAAGGGACGTTCCACTCTGTGAGTTGAATGCACACAACACAAAGAATTTACTGAGAATTCTTCCGTCTAGCATTATATGATAAAATCCCGTTTCCAACGAAGGCATCAAACAGGTCCATATATCCACTTGCAGACTTTACAAACAGTGTGTTTCCAAACTCCTCTATGAAAAGAAAGGTTGAACTCTGTGAGTTGAACGCACACATCACAAAGCACTTTCTGAGAATGATTCTGTCTGGTTATTATACGAAGATATTTCCTTTTCTGCAATTGTCCTCAAATCGCTTGAAATCTCCACCTGAAAATGCCACAGCAAGAGTGTTTCAAATCTGCTCTCTCTAAAGCAAGGTTCAACTCTGTGAGTTGAATACACACAACACAAAAAAGTTACTGAGAACTCTTCTTAGTCTAGCATTAAAGGAAGAAATCCCGTTTGCAACGAAGGCCTCAAAGAGGTCCAAATATCCACTTGCAGACATAAGAAGCAGAGTGTTTCTAAACTGCTCTAAGAAAAGAAAGGTTAAACTCTGTGAGTTGAAGGCACACATCACAAAGTAGTTTCTGAGAATGATTCTGTCTAGTTTTTATTTGAAGATATTTCCTTTTCTACTGTTGGCATCAAATCGCTTGAAATCTCCACTTGCAAACTCCACAAAAAGAGTGTTTCAAATCTGCTCTGTGTAAAGGGACGTTCCACTCTGTGAGTTGAATACACACAGCACAAAGAAGTTACTGAGAATTCTTCTGTCTAGCACGAAATGAAGAAATCCCGTTTCCAACGAAGGCCTCAATGCGGTCTATATATCCACTTGCAGACTTTACAAACAGAGAGTTTCCAAACTGCTCTATGAAAAGAAAGGTTAAACTATGTGAGTTGAACGCACACATCACAAAGAATTTTCTGAGAATGATTCTGTCTGGTTTTTATTTGAAGATATTTCCCTTTCTACTGTTGGCATCAAATGGCTAGAAATCTCCACTTGCAAATTCCGCAAAAAGAGTGTTTCAAATCTGCTCTGTCTAAAGGGACGTTCCACTCTGTGAGTTGAATGCACACAACACGAAGAATTTACTGAGAATTCTTCCGTCTAGCATTCAATGAAGAAATCCCGTTTCCAACGAAGGCCTCAAACAGGTCCATATATCCAATTGCAGACTTTACAAACAGTGTGTTTCCAAACTCCACTATGAAAAGAAAGATTAAACTCTGAGAGCTGAACGCACACATCACAAAGCACTTTCTGAGAATGATTCTGTCTGGTTGTTATACGAAGATATTTCCTTTTCTGCAATTGTCCTCAAATCGCTTGAAATCTCCACCTGAAAATGCCACAGCAAGAGTGTTTCAAATCTGCTCTCTCTAAAGCAAGGTTCAACTCTGTGAGTTGAATACACACAACACAAAAATGTTACTGAGAACTCTTCTTAGTCTAGCATGAAAGGAAGAAACCCCGTTTGCAACGAAGGCCTCAAAGAGGTCCAAATATCCACTTGCAGACATAACAAGCAGAGTGTTTCTAAACTGCTCTAAGAAAAGAAAGGTTAAACTCTGTGAGTTGAAGGCACACATCACAAAGTAGTTTCTGAGAATGATTCTGTCTAGTTTTTATTTGAAGATATTTCCTTTTCTACTGTTGGCATCAAATCGCTTGAAATCTCCACTTGCAAATTCCACAAAAAGAGTGTTTCAAATCTGCTCTGTGCAAAGGGACGTTCCACTCTGTGAGTTGAATACACACAGCACAAAGAAGTTACTGAGAATTCTTCTGTCTAGCATGAAATGAAGAAATCCCGTTTCCAACGAAGGCCTCAATGCGGTCCATATATCCACTTGCAGACTTTACAAACAGAGTGTTTCCAAACTGCTCTATGAAAAGAAAGGTTAAACTATGTGAGTTGAACGCACACATCACAAAGAATTTTCTGAGAATGATTCTGTCTGGTTTTTATTTGAAGATATTTCCCTTTCTACTGTTGGCATCAAATGGCTAGAAATCTCCACTTGCAAATTCCGCAAAAAGAGTGTTTCAAATCTGCTCTGTCTAAAGGGACGTTCCACTCTGTGAGTTGAATGCACACAACACAAAGAATTTACTGAGAATTCTTCCGTCTAGCATTCAATGAAGAAATCCCGTTTCCAACGAAGGCCTCAAACAGGTCCATATATCCAATTGCAGACTTTACAAACAGTGTGTTTCCAAACTCCTCTATGAAAAGAAAGGTTAAACTCTGTGAGTTGAACGCACACATCACAAAGCACTTTCTGAGAATGATTCTGTCTGGTTATTATACGAAGATATTTCCTTTTCTGCAATTGTCCTCAAATCGCTTGAAATCTCCACCTGAAAATGCCACAGCAAGAGTGTTTCAAATCTGCTCTCTCTAAAGCAAGGTTCAACTCTGTGAGTTGAATACACACAACACAAAAAAGTTACTGAGAACTCTTCTTAGTCTAGCATGAAAGGAAGAAACCCCGTTTGCAACGAAGGCCTCAAAGAGGTCCAAATATCCACTTGCAGACATAACAAGCAGAGTGTTTCTAAACTGCTCTAAGAAAAGAAAGGTTAAACTCTGTGAGTTGAAGGCACACATCACAAAGTAGTTTCTGAGAATGATTCTGTCTAGTTTTTATTTGAAGATATTTCCTTTTCTACTGTTGGCATCAAATCGCTTGAAATCTCCACTTGCAAACTCCACAAAAAGAGTGTTTCAAATCTGCTCTGTGTAAAGGGACGTTCCACTCTGTGAGTTGAATACACACAGCACAAAGAAGTTACTGAGAATTCTTCTGTCTAGCATGAAATGAAGAAATCCCGTTTCCAACGAAGGCCTCAATGCGGTCCATATATCCACTTGCCAGACTTTACAAACAGAGTGTTTCCAAACTGCTCTATGAAAAGAAAGGTTAAACTATGTGAGTTGAACGCACACATCACAAAGAATTTTCTGAGAATGATTCTGTCTGGTTTTTATTTGAAGATATTTCCCTTTCTACTGTTGGCATCAAATGGCTAGAAATCTCCACTTGCAAATTCCGCAAAAAGAGTGTTTCAAATCTGCTCTGTCTAAAGGGACGTTCCACTCTGTGAGTTGAATGCACACAACACAAAGAATTTACTGAGAATTCTTCCGTCTAGCATTCAATGAAGAAATCCCGTTTCCAACGAAGGCCTCAAACAGGTCCATATATCCACTTGCAGACTTTACAAACAGTGTGTTTCCAAACTCCTCTATGAAAAGAAAGGTTAAACTCTGTGAGTTGAACGCACACATCACAAAGCACTTTCTGAGAATGATTCTGTCTGGTTATTATACGAAGATATTTCCTTTTCTGCAATTGTCCTCAAATCGCTTGAAATCTCCACCTGAAAATGCCACAGCAAGAGTGTTTCAAATCTGCTCTCTCTAAAGCAAGGTTCAACTCTGTGAGTTGAATACACACAACACAAAAAAGTTACTGAGAACTCTTCTTAGTCTAGCATTAAAGGAAAAAACCCCGTTTGCAACGAAGGCCTCAAAGAGGTAAAAATATCCACTTGCAGACATAACAAGCAGAGTGTTTCTAAACTGCTCTAAGAAAAGAAAGGTTAAACTCTGTGAGTTGAAGGCACACATCACAAAGAATTTTCTGAGAATGATTCTGTCTGGTTTTTATTTGAAGATATTTCCCTTTCTACTGTTGGCATCAAATGGCTAGAAATCTCCACTTGCAAATTCCGCAAAAAGAGTGTTTCAAATCTGCTCTGTGTAAAGGGACGTTCCACTCTGTGAGTTCAATGCACACAACACAAAGAATTTACTGAGAATTCTTCCGTCTAGCATTCAATGAAGAAATCCCGTTTCCAACGGAGGCCTCAATGCGGTCCATATATCCAATTGCAGACTTTACAAACAGTGTGTTTCCAAGCTCCTCTATGAAAAGAAAGGTTAAACTCTGTGAGTTGAACGCACACATCACAAAGCACTTTCTGAGAATGATTCTGTCTGGTTATTATACGAAGATATTTCCTTTTCTGCAATTGTCCTCAAATCGCTTGAAATCTCCACCTGAAAATGCCACAGCAAGAGTGTTTCAAATCTGCTCTCTCTAAAGCAAGGTTCAACTCTGTGAGTTGAATACACACAACACAAAAAAGTTACTGAGAACTCTTCTTAGTCTAGCATGAAAGGAAGAAACCCCGTTTGCAACGAAGGCCTCAAAGAGGTCCAAATATCCACTTGCAGACATAACAAGCAGAGTGTTTCTAAACTGCTCTAAGAAAAGAAAGGTTAAACTCTGTGAGTTGAAGGCACACATCACAAAGTAGTTTCTGAGAATGATTCTGTCTAGTTTTTATTTGAAGATATTTCCTTTTCTACTGTTGGCATCAAATCGCTTGAAATCTCCACTTGCAAATTCCACAAAAAGAGTGTTTCAAATCTGTTCTGTGTAAAGGAACGTTCCACTCTTGTGAGTTGAATACACACAGCACAAAGAAGTTACTGAGAATTCTTCTGTCTAGCATGAAATGAAGAAATCCCGTTTCCAACGAAGGCCTCAATGCGGTCCATATATCCACTTGCAGACTTTACAAACAGAGTGTTTCCAAACTGCTCTATGAAAAGAAAGGTTAAACTATGTGAGTTGAACGCACACATCACAAAGAATTTTCTGAGAATGATTCTGTCTGGTTTTTATTTGAAGATATTTCCCTTTCTACTGTTGGCATCAAATGGCTAGAAATCTCCACTTGCAAATTCCGCAAAAAGAGTGTTTCAAATCTGCTCTGTCTAAAGGGACGTTCCACTCTGTGAGTTGAATGCACACAACACAAAGAATTTACTGAGAATTCTTCCGTCTAGCATTCAATGAAGAAATCCCGTTTCCAAAGAAGGCCTCAAACAGGTCCATATATCCAATTGCAGACTTTACAAACAGTGTGTTTCCAAACTCCTCTATGAAAAGAAAGGTTAAACTCTGTGAGTTGAACGCACACATCACAAAGCACTTTCTGAGAATGATTCTGTCTGGTTATTATACGAAGATATTTCCTTTTCTGCAATTGTCCTCAAATCGCTTGAAATCTCCACCTGAAAATGCCACAGCAAGAGTGTTTCAAATCTGCTCTCTCTAAAGCAAGGTTCAACTCTGTGAGTTGAATACACACAACACAAAAAAGTTACTGAGAACTCTTCTTAGTCTAGCATGAAAGGAAGAAACCCCGTTTGCAACGAAGGCCTCAAAGAGGTCCAAATATCCACTTGCAGACATAACAAGCAGAGTGTTTCTAAACTGCTCTAAGAAAAGAAAGGTTAAACTCTGGGAGTTGAAGGCACACGTCACAAAGTAGTTTCTGAGAATGATTCTGTCTAGTTTTTATTTGAAGATATTTCCTTTTCTACTGTTGGCATCAAATCGCTTGAAATCTCCACTTGCAAATTCCACAAAAAGAGTGTTTCAAATCTGCTCTGTGCAAAGGGACGTTCCACTCTGTGAGTTGAATACACACAGCACAAAGAAGTTACTGAGAATTCTTCTGTCTAGCATGAAATGAAGAAATCCCGTTTCCAACGAAGGCCTCAATGCGGTCCATATATCCACTTGCAGACTTTACAAACAGAGTGTTTCCAAACTGCTCTATGAAAAGAAAGGTTAAACTATGTGAGTTGAACGCACACATCACAAAGAATTTTCTGAGAATGATTCTGTCTGGTTTTTATTTGAAGATATTTCCCTTTCTACTGTTGGCATCAAATGGCTAGAAATCTCCACTTGCAAATTCCGCAAAAAGAGTGTTTCAAATCTGCTCTGTCTAAAGGGACGTTCCACTCTGTGAGTTGAATGCACACAACACAAAGAATTTACTGAGAATTCTTCCGTCTAGCATTCAATGAAGAAATCCCGTTTCCAAAGAAGGCCTCAAACAGGTCCATATATCCAATTGCAGACTTTACAAACAGTGTGTTTCCAAACTCCTCTATGAAAAGAAAGGTTAAACTCTGTGAGTTGAACGCACACATCACAAAGCACTTTCTGAGAATGATTCTGTCTGGTTATTATACGAAGATATTTCCTTTTCTGCAATTGTCCTCAAAACGCTTGAAATCTCCACCTGAAAATGCCACAGCAAGAGTGTTTCAAATCTGCTCTCTCTAAAGCAAGGTTCAACTCTGTGAGTTGAATACACACAACACAGAAAAGTTACTGAGAACTCTTCTTAGTCTAGCATGAAAGGAAGAAACCCCGTTTGCAACGAAGGCCTCAAAGAGGTCCAAATATCCACTTGCAGACATAACAAGCAGAGTGTTTCTAAACTGCTCTATGAAAAGAAAGGTTAAACTCTGTGAGTTGAAGGCACACATCACAAAGTAGTTTCTGAGAATGATTCTGTCTAGTTTTTATTTGAAGATATTTCCTTTTCTACTGTTGGCATCAAATCGCTTGAAATCTCCACTTGCAAATTCCACAAAAAGAGTGTTTCAAATCTGCTCTGTGCAAAGGGACGTTCCACTCTGTGAGTTGAATACACACAGCACAAAGAAGTTACTGAGAATTCTTCTGTCTAGCATGAAATGAAGAAATCCCGTTTCCAACGAAGGCCTCAATGCGGTCCATATATCCACTTGCAGACTTTACAAACAGAGTGTTTCCAAACTGCTCTATGAAAAGAAAGGTTAAACTATGTGAGTTGAACGCACACATCACAAAGAATTTTCTGAGAATGATTCTGTCTGGTTTTTATTTGAAGATATTTCCCTTTCTACTGTTGGCATCAAATGGCTAGAAATCTCCACTTGCAAATTCCGCAAAAAGAGTGTTTCAAATCTGCTCTGTCTAAAGGGACGTTCCACTCTGTGAGTTGAATGCACACAACACAAAGAATTTACTGAGAATTCTTCCGCCTTGCATTCAATGAAGAAATCCCGTTTCCAAAGAAGGCCTCAAACAGGTCCATATATCCAATTGCAGACTTTACAAACAGTGTGTTTCCAAACTCCTCTATGAAAAGAAAGGTTAAACTCTGTGAGTTGAACGCACACATCACAAAGCACTTTCTGAGAATGATTCTGTCTGGTTATTATACGAAGATATTTCCTTTTCTGCAATTGTCCTCAAAACGCTTGAAATCTCCACCTGAAAATGCCACAGCAAGAGTGTTTCAAATCTGCTCTCTCTAAAGCAAGGTTCAACTCTGTGAGTTGAATACACACAACACAAAAAAGTTACTGAGAACTCTTCTTAGTCTAGCATGAAAGGAAGAAACCCCGTTTGCAACGAAGGCCTCAAAGAGGTCCAAATATCCACTTGCAGACATAACAAGCAGAGTGTTTCTAAACTGCTCTAAGAAAAGAAAGGTTAAACTCTGTGAGTTGAAGGCACACATCACAAAGTAGTTTCTGAGAATGATTCTGTCTAGTTTTTATTTGAAGATATTTCCTTTTCTACTGTTGGCATCAAATCGCTTGAAATCTCCACTTGCAAACTCCACAAAAAGAGTGTTTCAAATCTGCTCTGTGCAAAGGGACGTTCCACTCTGTGAGTTGAATACACACAGCACAAAGAAGTTACTGAGAATTCTTCTGTCTAGCATGAAATGAAGAAATCCCGTTTCCAACGAAGGCCTCAATGCGGTCCATAGATCCACTTGCAGACTTTACAAACAGAGTGTTTCCAAACTGCTCTATGAAAAGAAAGGTTAAACTATGTGAGTTGAACGCACACATCACAAAGAATTTTCTGAGAATGATTCTGTCTGGTTTTTATTTGAAGATATTTCCCTTTCTACTGTTGGCATCAAATGGCTAGAAATCTCCACTTGCAAATTCCGCAAAAAGAGTGTTTCAAATCTGCTCTGTCTAAAGGGACGTTCCACTCTGTGAGTTGAATGCACACAACACAAAGAATTTACTGAGAATTCTTCCGTCTAGCATTCAATGAAGAAATCCCGTTTCCAAAGAAGGCCTCAAACAGGTCCATATATCCAATTGCAGACTTTACAAACAGTGTGTTTCCAAACTCCTCTATGAAAAGAAAGGTTAAACTCTGTGAGTTGAACGCACACATCACAAAGCACTTTCTGAGAATGATTCTGTCTGGTTGTTATACGAAGATATTTCCTTTTCTGTAATTGTCCTCAAATCGCTTGAAATCTCCACCTGAAAATGCCACAGCAAGAGTGTTTCAAATCTGCTCTCTCTAAAGCAAGGTTCAACTCTGTGAGTTGAATACACACAACACAAAAAAGTTACTGAGAACTCTTCTTAGTCTAGCATGAAAGGAAGAAACCCCGTTTGCAACGAAGGCCTCAAAGAGGTCCAAATATCCACTTGCAGACATAACAAGCAGAGTGTTTCTAAACTGCTCTAAGAAAAGAAAGGTTAAACTCTGTGAGTTGAAGGCACACATCACAAAGTAGTTTCTGAGAATGATTCTGTCTAGTTTTTATTTGAAGATATTTCCTTTTCTACTGTTGGCATCAGATCGCTTGAAATCTCCACTTGCAAATTCCACAAAAAGAGTGTTTCAAATCTGCTCTGTGCAAAGGGACGTTCCACTCTGTGAGTTCAATACACACAGCACAAAGAAGTTACTGAGAATTCTTCTGTCTAGCAATAAATGAAGAAATCCCGTTTCCAACGAAGGCCTCAAATCGGTCCATATATCTACTTGCAGATTTTACAAACAGAGTGTTTCCAAACTGCTCTGTGAAAAGAAAGGTTAAACTATGTGAGTTGAACGCACACATCACAAAGAATTTTCTGAGAATGATTCTGTCTAGTTTTTATTTGAAGATATTTCCCTTTCTACTGTTGGCATCAAATGGCTTGAAATCTCCACTTGCAAATTCCGCAAAAAGAGTGTTTCAAATCTGCTCTGTCTAAAGGGACGTTCCACTCTGTGAGTTGAATGCACACAACACCAAGAATTTACTGAGAATTCTTCGGTCTAGCATTCAATGAAGAAATCCCGTTTCCAACGAATGCCTCAAAGCGGTCCATATATCCACTGGCAGATTTTACCAACAGTGTGTTTCCAAACTGCTCTATGAAAAGAGAGGTTAAACTATGTGAGCTGAACGCACACATCACAAAGAATTTTCTGAGAATGATTCTGTCTAGCTTTTATTTGAAGATATTTCCTTTTCTGCTGTTGGCATCAAATCGCTTGAAATCTCCCCTGCCAAATTCACAAAAGGAGTGTTTCAAATCTGCTCTCTCTAAAGGGACGTTCCACTCTGTGATTTGAATGCACGCAACACAAAGAGTTTACTGAGAATTCTTCCGTCTAGCATTATATGAAAAAATCCCTTTTCCAAGGAAGGCCTCAAACAGGTCCAAATATCCACTTGCAGACTTTACAAACAGTATGTTTCCAAACTGCTCTATGATCAGAAAGGTTAAGCTCTGTGAGTTGAACGCAAGCATCACAAAGCACTTTCTGAGAATGATTCTGTCTGGTTATTATACGAAGATATTTCCTTTTCTGCAATTGTCCTCAAATCGCCTGAAATCTCCACCTGAAAATTCCACAGCAAGAGTGTTTCAAATCTGCTCTCTCTAAAGCAAGGTTCAACTCTGTGAGTTGAATAAACACAACACAAAAAAGTTACTGAGAACTCTTCTTAGTCTAGCATTAAAGGAAGAAACCCCGTTTGCAACGAAGGCCTCAAAGAGGTCCAAATATCCACTTGCAGACATAACAAGCAGAGTGTTTCTAAACTGCTCTAAGAAAAGAAAGGTTAAACTCTGTGAGTTGAAGGCACACATCACAAAGTAGTTTCTGAGAATGATTCTGTCTAGTTTTTATTTGAAGATATTTCCTTTTCTACTGTTGGCATCAAATCGCTTGAAATCTCCACTTACAAATTCCACAAAAAGAGTGTTTCAAGTCTGCTCTGTGCAAAGGGACGTTCCACTCTGTGAGTTGAATACACACAGCACAAAGAAGTTACTGAGAATTCTTCTGTCTAGCATGAAATGAAGAAATCCCGTTTCCAACGAAGGCCTCAATGCGGTCCATATATCCACTTGCAGACTTTACAAACAGAGTGTTTCCAAACTGCTCTATGAAAAGAAAGGTTAAACTATGTGAGTTGAACGCACACATCACAAAGAATTTTCTGAGAATGATTCTGTCTGGTTTTTATTTGAAGATGTTTCCCTTTCTACTGTTGGCATCAAATGGCTAGAAATCTCCAGTTGCAAATTCCGCAAAAAGAGTGTTTCAAATCTGCTCTGTCTAAAGGGACGTTCCACTCTGTGAGTTGAATGCACACAACACAAAGAATTTACTGAGAATTCTTCCGTCTAGCATTCAATGAAGAAATCCCGTTTCCAACGAAGGCCTCAAACAGGTCCATATATCCACTTGCAGACTTTACAAACAGTGTGTTTCCAAACTCCTCTATGAAAAGAAAGGTTAAACTCTGTGAGTTGAACGCACACATCACAAAGCACTTCCTGAGAATGATTCTGTCTGGTTTTTATACGAAGATATTTCCTTTTCTGCAATTGTCCTCAAATCGCTTGAAATCTCCACCTGAAAATGCCACAGCAAGAGTGTTTCAAATCTGCTCTCTCTAAAGCAAGGTTCAACACTGTGAGTTGAATACACACAACACAAAGAAGTTACTGAGAACTCTTCTTAGGCTAGCATTAAATGAAGAAATCCCGTTTGCAACGAAGGCCTCAAAGAGGTCCAAATATCCATTTGGAGACATAACAAGCAGAGTGTTTCTAAACTGCTATAAGAAAGGAAAGGTTAAACTCTGTGAGTTGAAGGCACACATCACAAAGTAATTTCTGAGAATGATTCGGTCTAGTTTTTATTTGAAGATATTTCCTTTTCTACTGTTGGCATCAAATCGCTTGAAATATCCACTTGCAAACTCCACAAAAAGAGTGTTTCAAATCTGCTCTGTGCAAAGGGACGTTCCACTCTGTGAGTTGAATACACACAGCACAAAGAAGTTACTGAGAATTCTTCTGTCTAGCATGAAATGAAGAAATCCCGTTTCCAACGAAGGCCTCAATGCGGTCCATATATCCACTTGCAGACTTTACAAACAGAGTGTTTCCAAACTGCTCTATGAAAAGAAAGGTTAAACTATGTGAGTTGAACGCACACATCACAAAGAATTTTCTGAGAATGATTCTGTCTGGTTTTTATTTGAAGATATTTCCCTTTCTACTGTTGGCATCAAATGGCTAGAAATCTCCACTTGCAAATTCCGCAAAAAGAGTGTTTCAAATCTGCTCTGTCTAAAGGGACGTTCCACTCTGTGAGTTGAATGCACACAACACAAAGAATTTACTGAGAATTCTTCCGTCTAGCATTCAATGAAGAAATCCCGTTTCCAACGAAGGCCTCAAACAGGTCCATATATCCACTTGCAGACTTTACAAACAGTGTGTTTCCAAACTCCTCTATGGAAAGAAAAGTTAAACTCTGTGAGTTGAACGCACACATCACAAAGCACTTTCTGAGAATGATTCTGTCTGGTTATTATACGAAGATATTTCCTTTTCTGCAATTGTCCTCAAATCGCTTGAAATCTCCACCTGAAAATGCCACAGCAAGAGTGTTTCAAATCTGCTCTCTCTAAAGCAAGGTTCAACTCTGTGAGTTGAATACACACAACACAAAAAAGTTACTGAGAACTCTTCTTAGTCTAGCATGAAAGGAAGAAACCCCGTTTGCAACGAAGGCCTCAAAGAGGTCCAAATATCCACTTGCAGACATAACAAGCAGAGTGTTTCTAAACTGCTCTAAGAAAAGAAAGGTTAAACTCTGTGAGTTGAAGGCACACATCACAAAGTAGTTTCTGAGAATGATTCTGTCTAGTTTTTATTTGAAGATATTTCCTTTTCTACTGTTGGCATCAAATCGCTTGAAATCTCCACTTGCAAACTCCACAAAAAGAGTGTTTCAAATCTGCTCTGTGTAAAGGGACGTTCCACTCTGTGAGTTGAATACACACAGCACAAAGAAGTTACTGAGAATTCTTCTGTCTAGCATGAAATGAAGAAATCCCGTTTCCAACGAAGGCCTCAATGCGGTCCATATATCCACTTGCAGACTTTACAAACAGAGTGTTTCCAAACTGCTCTATGAAAAGAAAGGTTAAACTATGTGAGTTGAACGCACACATCACAAAGAATTTTCTGAGAATGATTCTGTCTGTTTTTTATTTGAAGATATTTCCCTTTCTACTGTTGGCATCAAATGGCTAGAAATCTCCACTTGCAAATTCCGCAAAAAGAGTGTTTCAAATCTGCTCTGTCTAAAGGGACGTTCCACTCTGTGAGTTGAATGCACTCAACACAAAGAATTTACTGAGAATTCTTCCGTCTAGCATTCAATGAAGAAATCCCGTTTCCAACGAAGGCCTCAAACAGGTCCATATATCCACTTGCAGACTTTACAAACAGTGTGTTTCCAAACTCCTCTATGAAAAGAAAGGTTAAACTCTGTGAGTGGAACGCACACATCACAAAGCACTTTCTGAGAATGATTCTGTCTGGTTATTATACGAAGATATTTCCTTTTCTGCAATTGTCCTCAAATCGCTTGAAATCTCCACCTGAAAATGCCACAGCAAGAGTGTTTCAAATCTGCTCTCTCTAAAGCAAGGTTCAACTCTGTGAGTTGAATACACACAGCACAAAGAAGTTACTGAGAATTCTTCTTAGTCTAGCATGAAAGGAAGAAACCCCGTTTGCAACGAAGGCCTCAAAGAGGTCCAAATATCCACTTGCAGACATAACAAGCAGAGTGTTTCTAAACTGCTCTAAGAAAAGAAAGGTTAAACTCTGTGAGTTGAAGGCACACATCACAAAGTAGTTTCTGAGAATGATTCTGTCTAGTTTTTATTTGAAGATATTTCCTTTTCTACTGTTGGCATCAAATCGCTTGAAATCTCCACTTGCAAATTCCACAAAAAGAGTGTTTCAAATCTGCTCTGTGCAAAGGGACGTTCCACTCTGTGAGTTGAATACACACAGCACAAAGAAGTTACTGAGAATTCTTCTGTCTAGCATGAAATGAAGAAATCCCGTTTCCAACGAAGGCCTCAATGCGGTCCATATATCCACTTGCAGACTTTACAAACAGAGTGTTTCCAAACTGCTCTATGAAAAGAAAGGTTAAACTATGTGAGTTGAACGCACACATCACAAAGAATTTTCTGAGAATGATTCTGTCTGGTTTTTATTTGAAGATGTTTCCCTTTCTACTGTTGGCATCAAATGGCTAGAAATCTCCACTTGCAAATTCCGCAAAAAGAGTGTTTCAAATCTGCTCTGTCTAAAGGGACGTTCCACTCTGTCAGTTGAATGCACACAACACAAAGAATTTACTGAGAATTCTTCCGTCTAGCATTCAATGAAGAAATCCCGTTTCCAACGAAGGCCTCAAACAGGTCCATATATCCACTTGCAGACTTTACAAACAGAGTGTTTCCAAACTCCTCTATGAAAAGAAAGGTTAAACTATGTGAGTTGAACGCACACATCACAAAGAATTTTCTGAGAATGATTCTGTCTGGTTATTATACGAAGATATTTCCTTTTCTGCAATTGTCCTCAAAACGCTTGAAATCTCCACCTGAAAATGCCACAGCAAGAGTGTTTCAAATCTGCTCTCTCTAAAGCAAGGTTCAACTCTGTGAGTTGAATACACACAACACAAAAAAGTTACTGAGAACTCTTCTTA
The DNA here is from genome assembly GCF_000001405.40 of Homo sapiens. NCBI lineage: Eukaryota > Metazoa > Chordata > Mammalia > Primates > Hominidae > Homo > Homo sapiens. The sequence goes on along the minus strand of NC_000007.14, from coordinate 60,568,944 downwards.
GTCTAGCATGAAAGGAAGAAACCCCGTTTGCAACGAAGGCCTCAAAGAGGTCCAAATATCCACTTGCAGACATAACAAGCAGAGTGTTTCTAAACTGCTCTAAGAAAAGAAAGGTTAAACTCTGTGAGTTGAAGGCACACATCACAAAGTAGTTTCTGAGAATGATTCTGTCTAGTTTTTATTTGAAGATATTTCCTTTTCTACTGTTGGCATCAAATCGCTTGAAATCTCCACTTGCAAACTCCACAAAAAGAGTGTTTCAAATCTGCTCTGTGCAAAGGGACGTTCCACTCTGTGAGTTGAATACACACAGCACAAAGAAGTTACTGAGAATTCTTCTGTCTAGCATGAAATGAAGAAATCCCGTTTCCAACGAAGGCCTCAATGCGGTCCATATATCCACTTGCAGACTTTACAAACAGAGTGTTTCCAAACTGCTCTATGAAAAGAAAGGTTAAACTATGTGAGTTGAACGCACACATCACAAAGAATTTTCTGAGAATGATTTCTGTCTGGTTTTTATTTGAAGATATTTCCCTTTCTACTGTTGGCATCAAATGGCTAGAAATCTCCACTTGCAAATTCCGCAAAAAGAGTGTTTCAAATCTGCTCTGTCTAAAGGGACGTTCCACTCTGTGAGTTGAATGCACACAACACAAAGAATTTACTGAGAATTCTTCCGTCTAGCATTCAATGAAGAAATCCCGTTTCCAACGAAGGCCTCAAACACGTCCATATATCCACTTGCAGACTTTACAAACAGTGTGTTTCCAAACTCCTCTATGAAAAGAAAGGTTAAACTCTGTGAGTGGAACGCACACATCACAAAGCACTTCCTGAGAATGATTCTGTCTGGTTATTATACGAAGATATTTCCTTTTCTGCAATTGTCCTCAAATCGCTTGAAATCTCCACCTGAAAATGCCACAGCAAGAGTGTTTCAAATCTGCTCTCTCTAAAGCAAGGTTCAACTCTGTGAGTTGAATACACACAACACAAAAAAGTTACTGAGAACTCTTCTTAGTCTAGCATTAAAGGAAGAAACCCCGTTTGCAACGAAGGCCTAAAAGAGGTCCAAATATCCACTTGCAGACATAACAAGCAGAGTGTTTCTAAACTGCTCTAAGAAAAGAAAGGTTAAACTCTGTGAGTTGAAGGCACACATCACAAAGTAGTTTCTGAGAATGATTCTGTCTAGTTTTTATTTGAAGATATTTCCTTTTCTACTGTTGGCATCAAATCGCTTGAAATCTCCACTTGCAAATTCCACAAAAAGAGTGTTTCAAATCTGCTCTGTGCAAAGGGACGTTCCACTCTGTGAGTTGAATACACACAGCACAAAGAAGTTACTGAGAATTCTTCTGTCTAGCATGAAATGAAGAAATCCCGTTTCCAACGAAGGCCTCAATGCGGTCCATATATCCACTTGCAGACTTTACAAACAGAGTGTTTCCAAACTGCTCTATGAAAAGAAAGGTTAAACTATGTGAGTTGAACGCACACATCACAAAGAATTTTCTGAGAATGATTCTGTCTGGTTTTTATTTGAAGATATTTCCCTTTCTACTGTTGGCATCAAATGGCTAGAAATCTCCACTTGCAAATTCCGCAAAAAGAGTGTTTCAAATCTGCTCTGTCTAAAGGGACGTTCCACTCTGTGAGTTGAATGCACACAACACAAAGAATTTACTGAGAATTCTTCTGTCTAGCATGAAATGAAGAAATCCCGTTTCCAACGAAGGCCTCAAACAGGTCCATATATCCACTAGCAGACTTTACAAACAGTGTGTTTCCAAACTCTTCTATGAAAAGAAAGGTTAAACTCTGTGAGTTGAACGCACACATCACAAAGCACTTTCTGAGAATGATTCTGTCTGGTTGTTATACGAAGATATTTCCTTTTCTGCAATTGTCCTCAAATCGCTTGAAATCTCCACCTGAAAATGCCACAGCAAGAGTGTTTCAAATCTGCTCTCTCTAAAGCAAGGTTCAACTCTGTGAGTTGAATACACACAACACAAAAAAGTTACTGAGAACTCTTCTTAGTCTAGCATGAAAGGAAGAAACCCCGTTTGCAACGAAGGCCTCAAAGAGGTCCAAATATCCACTTGCAGACATAACAAGCAGAGTGTTTCTAAACTGCTCTAAGAAAAGAAAGGTTAAACTCTGTGAGTTGAAGGCACACATCACAAAGTAGTTTCTGAGAATGATTCTGTCTAGTTTTTATTTGAAGATATTTCCTTTTCTACTGTTGGCATCAAATCGCTTGAAATCTCCACTTGCAAACTCCACAAAAAGAGTGTTTCAAATCTGCTCTGTGCAAAGGGACGTTCCCCTCTGTGAGTTGAATACACACAGCACAAAGAAGTTACTGAGAATTCTTCTGTCTAGCATGAAATGAAGAAATCCCGTTTCCAACGAAGGCCTCAATGCGGTCCATATATCCACTTGCAGACTTTACAAACAGAGTGTTTCCAAACTGCTCTATGAAAAGAAAGGTTAAACTATGTGAGTTGAACGCACACATCACAAAGAATTTTCTGAGAATGATTCTGTCTGGTTTTTATTTGAAGATATTTCCCTTTCTACTGTTGGCATCAAATGGCTAGAAATCTCCACTTGCAAATTCCGCAAAAAGAGTGTTTCAAATCTGCTCTGTCTAAAGGGACGTTCCACTCTGTGAGTTGAATGCACACCACACAAAGAATTTACTGAGAATTCTTCCGTCTAGCATTCAATGAAGAAATCCCGTTTCCAACGAAGGCCTCAAACAGGTCCATATATCCAATTGCAGACTTTACAAACAGTGTGTTTCCAAACTCCTCTATGAAAAGAAAGGTTAAACTCTGTGAGTTGAACGCACACAACACAAAGCACTTTCTGAGAATGATTCTGTCTGGTTATTATACGAAGATATTTCCTTTTCTGCAATTGTCCTCAAAACGCTTGAAATCTCCACCTGAAAATGCCACAGCAAGAGTGTTTCAAATCTGCTCTCTCTAAAGCAAGGTTCAACTCTGTGAGTTGAATACACACAACACAAAAAAGTTACTGAGAACTCTTCTTAGTCTAGCATGAAAGGAAGAAACCCCGTTTGCAACGAAGGCCTCAAAGAGGTCCAAATATCCACTTGCAGACATAACAAGCAGAGTGTTTCTAAACTGCTCTAAGAAAAGAAAGGTTAAACTCTGTGAGTTGAAGGCACACATCACAAAGTAGTTTCTGAGAATGATTCTGTCTAGTTTTTATTTGAAGATATTTCCTTTTCTACTGTTGGCATCAAATCGCTTGAAATCTCCACTTGCAAACTCCACAAAAAGAGTGTTTCAAATCTGCTCTGTCTAAAGGGACGTTCCACTCTGTGAGTTGAATGCACACAACACAAAGAATTTACTGAGAATTCTTCCGTCTAGCATGCAATGAAGAAATCCCGTTTCCAACGAAGGCCTCAAACAGGTCCATATATCCAATTGCAGACTTTACAAACAGTGTGTTTCCAAACTCCTCTATGAAAAGAAAGGTTAAACTCTGTGAGTTGAACGCACACATCACAAAGCACTTTCTGAGAATGATTCTGTCTGGTTGTTATACGAAGATATTTCCTTTTCTGCAATTGTCCTCAAATCGCTTGAAATCTCCACCTGAAAATGCCACAGCAAGAGTGTTTCAAATCTGCTCTCTCTAAAGCAAGGTTCAACTCTGTGAGTTGAATACACACAACACAAAAATGTTACTGAGAACTCTTCTTAGTCTAGCATGAAAGGAAGAAACCCCGTTTGCAACGAAGGCCTCAAAGAGGTCCAAATATCCACTTGCAGACATAACAAGCAGAGTGTTTCTAAACTGCTCTAAGAAAAGAAAGGTTAAACTCTGTGAGTTGAAGGCACACATCACAAAGTAGTTTCTGAGAATGATTCTGTCTAGTTTTTATTTGAAGATATTTCCTTTTCTACTGTTGGCATCAAATCGCTTGAAATCTCCACTTGCAAACTCCACAAAAAGAGTGTTTCAAATCTGCTCTGTGCAAAGGGACGTTCCACTCTGTGAGTTGAATACACACAGCACAAAGAAGTTACTGAGAATTCTTCTGTCTAGCATGAAATGAAGAAATCCCGTTTCCAACGAAGGCCTCAATGCGGTCCATATATCCACTTGCAGACTTTACAAACAGAGTGTTTCCAAACTGCTCTATGAAAAGAAAGGTTAAACTATGTGAGTTGAACGCACACATCACAAAGAATTTTCTGAGAATGATTCTGTCTGGTTTTTATTTGAAGATATTTCCCTTTCTACTGTTGGCATCAAATGGCTAGAAATCTCCACTTGCAAATTCCGCAAAAAGAGTGTTTCAAATCTGCTCTGTCTAAAGGGACGTTCCACTCTGTGAGTTGAATGCACACAACACAAAGAATTTACTGAGAATTCTTCCGTCTAGCATTCAATGAAGAAATCCCGTTTCCAACGAAGGCCTCAAACAGGTCCATATATCCAATTGCAGACTTTACAAACAGTGTGTTTCCAAACTCCTCTATGAAAAGAAAGGTTAAACTCTGTGAGTTGAACGCACACATCACAAAGCACTTTCTGAGAATGATTCTGTCTGGTTATTATACGAAGATATTTCCTTTTCTGCAATTGTCCTCAAAACGCTTGAAATCTCCACCTGAAAATGCCACAGCAAGAGTGTTTCAAATCTGCTCTCTCTAAAGCAAGGTTCAACTCTGTGAGTTGAATACACACAACACAAAAAAGTTACTGAGAACTCTTCTTAGTCTAGCATGAAAGGAAGAAACCCCGTTTGCAACGAAGGCCTCAAAGAGGTCCAAATATCCACTTGCAGACATAACAAGCAGAGTGTTTCTAAACTGCTCTAAGAAAAGAAAGGTTAAACTCTGTGAGTTGAAGGCACACATCACAAAGTAGTTTCTGAGAATGATTCTGTCTAGTTTTTATTTGAAGATATTTCCTTTTCTACTGTTGGCATCAAATCGCTTGAAATCTCCACTTGCAAACTCCACAAAAAGAGTGTTTCAAATCTGCTCTGTGCAAAGGGACGTTCCACTCTGTGAGTTGAATACACACAGCACAAAGAAGTTACTGAGAATTCTTCTGTCTAGCATGAAATGAAGAAATCCCGTTTCCAACGAAGGCCTCAATGCGGTCCATATATCCACTTGCAGACTTTACAAACAGAGTGTTTCCAAACTGCTCTATGAAAAGAAAGGTTAAACTATGTGAGTTGAACGCACACATCACAAAGAATTTTCTGAGAATGATTCTGTCTGGTTTTTATTTGAAGATATTTCCCTTTCTACTGTTGGCATCAAATGGCTAGAAATCTCCACTTGCAAATTCCGCAAAAAGAGTGTTTCAAATCTGCTCTGTCTAAAGGGACGTTCCACTCTGTGAGTTGAATGCACACAACACAAAGAATTTACTGAGAATTCTTCCGTCTAGCATTCAATGAAGAAATCCCGTTTCCAACGAAGGCCTCAAACAGGTCCATATATCCACTTGCAGACTTTACAAACAGTGTGTTTCCAAACTCCTCTATGAAAAGAAAGGTTAAACTCTGTGAGTGGAACGCACACATCACAAAGCACTTTCTGAGAATGATTCTGTCTGGTTGTTATACGAAGATATTTCCTTTTCTGTAATTGTCCTCAAATCGCTTGAAATCTCCACCTGAAAATGCCACAGCAAGAGTGTTTCAAATCTGCTCTCTCTAAAGCAAGGTTCAACTCTGTGAGTTGAATACACACAACACAAAAAAGTTACTGAGAACTCTTCTTAGTCTAGCATGAAAGGAAGAAACCCCGTTTGCAACGAAGGCCTCAAAGAGGTCCAAATATCCACTTGCAGACATAACAAGCAGAGTGTTTCTAAACTGCTCTAAGAAAAGAAAGGTTAAACTCTGTGAGTTGAAGGCACACATCACAAAGTAGTTTCTGAGAATGATTCTGTCTAGTTTTTATTTGAAGATATTTCCTTTTCTACTGTTGGCATCAGATCGCTTGAAATCTCCACTTGCAAATTCCACAAAAAGAGTGTTTCAAATCTGCTCTGTGCAAAGGGACGTTCCACTCTGTGAGTTCAATACACACAGCACAAAGAAGTTACTGAGAATTCTTCTGTTTAGCATGAAATGAAGATATCCCGTTTCCAACGAAGGCCTCAATGCGGTCCATATATCCACTTGCAGACTTTACAAACAGAGTGTTTCCAAACTGCTCTATGAAAAGAAAGGTTAAACTATGTGAGTTGAACGCACACATCACAAAGAATTTTCTGAGAATGATTCTGTCTGGTTTTTATTTGAAGATATTTCCCTTTCTACTGTTGGCATCAAATGGCTAGAAATCTCCACTTGCAAATTCCGCAAAAAGAGTGTTTCAAATCTGCTCTGTCTAAAGGGACGTTCCACTCTGTCAGTTGAATGCACACAACACAAAGAATTTACTGAGAATTCTTCCGTCTAGCATTCAATGAAGAAATCCCGTTTCCAACGAAGGCCTCAAACAGGTCCATATATCCAATTGCAGACTTTACAAACAGTGTGTTTCCAAACTCCTCTATGAAAAGAAAGGTTAAACTCTGTGAGTTGAACGCACACATCACAAAGCACTTTCTGAGAATGATTCTGTCTGGTTATTATACGAAGATATTTCCTTTTCTGCAATTGTCCTCAAATCGCTTGAAATCTCCACCTGAAAATGCCACAGCAAGAGTGTTTCAAATCTGCTCTCTCTAAAGCAAGGTTCAACTCTGTGAGTTGAATACACACAACACAAAAAAGTTACTGAGAACTCTTCTTAGTCTAGCATTAAAGGAAGAAACCCTGTTTGCAACGAAGGCCTCAAAGAGGTCCAAATATCCACTTGCAGACATAACAAGCAGAGTGTTTCTAAGCTGCTCTAAGAAAAGAAAGGTTAAACTCTGTGAGTTGAAGGCACACATCACAAAGTAGTTTCTGAGAATGATTCTGTCTAGTTTTTATTTGAAGATATTTCCTTTTCTACTGTTGGCATCAAATCGCTTGAAATCTCCACTTGCAAACTCCACAAAAAGAGAGTTTCAAATCTGCTCTGTGTAATGGGACGTTCCACTCTGTGAGTTGAATACACACAGCACAAAGAAGTTACTGAGAATTCTTCTGTCTAGCATGAAATGAAGAAATCCCGTTTCCAACGAAGCCCTCAATGCGGTCCATATATCCACTTGCAGACTTTACAAACAGAGTGTTTCCAAACTGCTCTATGAAAAGAAAGGTTAAACTATGTGAGTTGAACGCACACATCACAAAGAATTTTCTGAGAATGATTCTGTCTGGTTTTTATTTGAAGATATTTCCCTTTCTACTGTTGGCATCAAATGGCTAGAAATCTCCACTTGCAAATTCCGCAAAAAGAGTGTTTCAAATCTGCTCTGTCTAAAGGGACGTTCCACTCTGTGAGTTGAATGCACACAACACAAAGAATTTACTGAGAATTCTTCCGTCTAGCATTCAATGAAGAAATCCCGTTTCCAACGAAGGCCTCAAACAGGTCCATATATCCAATTGCAGACTTTACAAACAGTGTGTTTCCAAACTCCTCTATGAAAAGAAAGGTTAAACTCTGTGAGTTGAACGCACACATCACAAAGCACTTTCTGAGAATGATTCTGTCTGGTTATTATACGAAGATATTTCCTTTTCTGCAATTGTCCTCAAAACGCTTGAAATCTCCACCTGAAAATGCCACAGCAAGAGTGTTTCAAATCTGCTCTCTCTAAAGCAAGGTTCAACTCTGTGAGTTGAATACACACAACACAAAAAAGTTACTGAGAACTCTTCTTAGTCTAGCATGAAAGGAAGAAACCCCGTTTGCAACGAAGGCCTCAAAGAGGTCCAAATATCCACTTGCAGACATAACAAGCAGAGTGTTTCTAAACTGCTCTAAGAAAAGAAAGGTTAAACTCTGTGAGTTGAAGGCACACATCACAAAGTAGTTTCTGAGAATGATTCTGTCTAGTTTTTATTTGAAGATATTTCCTTTTCTACTGTTGGCATCAAATCGCTTGAAATCTCCACTTGCAAACTCCACAAAAAGAGTGTTTCAAATCTGCTCTGTGTAAAGGGACGTTCCACTCTGTGAGTTGAATACACACAGCACAAAGAAGTTACTGAGAATTCTTCTGTCTAGCATGAAATGAAGAAATCCCGTTTCCAACGAAGGCCTCAATGCGGTCCATATATCCACTTGCAGACTTTACAAACAGAGTGTTTCCAAACTGCTCTATGAAAAGAAAGGTTAAACTATGTGAGTTGAACGCACACATCACAAAGAATTTTCTGAGAATGATTCTGTCTAGTTTTTATTTGAAGATATTTCCCTTTGTACTGTTGGCATCAAATGGCTAGAAATCTCCACTTGCAACTTCCGCAAAAAGAGTGTTTCAAATCTGCTCTGTCTAAAGGGACGTTCCACTCTGTGAGTTGAATGCACACAACACAAAAAAGTTACTGAGAAGTCTTCTTAGTCTAGCATTAAAGGAAGAAACCCCGTTTGCAACGAAGGCCTCAAAGAGGTCCAAATATCCACTTGCAGACATAACAAGCAGAGTGTTTCTAAACTGCTCTAAGAAAAGAAAGGTTAAACTCTGTGAGTTGAAGGCACACATCACAAAGTAGTTTCTGAGAATGATTCTGTCTAGTTTTTATTTGAAGATATTTCCTTTTCTACTGTTGGCATCAAATCGCTTGAAATCTCCACTTGCAAACTCCACAAAAAGAGTGTTTCAAATCTGCTCTGTGCAAAGGGACGTTCCACTCTGTGAGTTGAATACACACAGCACAAAGAAGTTACTGAGAATTCTTCTGTCTAGCATGAAATGAAGAAATCCCGTTTCCAACGAAGGCCTCAATGCGGTCCATATATCCACTTGCAGACTTTACAAACAGAGTGTTTCCAAACTGCTCTATGAAAAGAAAGGTTAAACTATGTGAGTTGAACGCACACATCACAAAGAATTTTCTGAGAATGATTCTGTCTGGTTTTTATTTGAAGATATTTCCCTTTCTACTGTTGGCATCAAATGGCTAGAAATCTCCACTTGCAAATTCCGCAAAAAGAGTGTTTCAAATCTGCTCTGTCTAAAGGGACGTTCCACTCTGTGAGTTGAATGCACACAACACAAAGAATTTACTGAGAATTCTTCCGTCTAGCATTCAATGAAGAAATCCCGTTTCCAACGAAGGCCTCAAACAGGTCCATATATCCACTTGCAGACTTTACAAACAGTGTGTTTCCAAACTCCTCTATGAAAAGAAAGGTTAAAGTCTGTGAGTTGAACGCACACATCACAAAGCACTTTCTGAGAATGATTCTGTCTGGTTATTATACGAAGATATTTCCTTTTCTGCAATTGTCCTCAAATCGCTTGAAATCTCCACCTGAAAATGCCACAGCAAGAGTGTTTCAAATCTGCTCTCTCTAAAGCAAGGTTCAACTCTGTGAGTTGAATACACACAACACAAAAAAGTTACTGAGAACTCTTCTTAGTCTAGCATGAAAGGAAGAAACCCCGTTTGCAACGAAGGCCTCAAAGAGGTCCAAATATCCACTTGCAGACATAACAAGCAGAGTGTTTCTAAACTGCTCTAAGAAAAGAAAGGTTAAACTCTGTGAGTTGAAGGCACACATCACAAAGTAGTTTCTGAGAATGATTCTGTCTAGTTTTTATTTGAAGATATTTCCTTTTCTACTGTTGGCATCAAATCGCTTGAAATCTCCACTTGCAAATTCCACAAAAAGAGTGTTTCTAATCTGCTCTGTGCAAAGGGACGTTCCACTCTGTGAGTTGAATACACAGAGCACAAAGAAGTTACTGAGAATTCTTCTGTCTAGCATGAAATGAAGAAATCCCGTTTCCAACGAAGGCCTCAATGCGGTCCATATATCCACTTGCAGACTTTACAAACAGAGTGTTTCCAAACTGCTCTATGAAAAGAAAGGTTAAACTATGTGAGTTGAACGCACACATCACAAAGAATTTTCTGAGAATGATTCTGTCTGGTTTTTATTTGAAGATATTTCCCTTTCTACTGTTGGCATCAAATGGCTAGAAATCTCCACTTGCAAATTCCGCAAAAAGAGTGTTTCAAATCTGCTCTGTCTAAAGGGACGTTCCACTCTGTGAGTTGAATGCACACAACACAAAGAATTTACTGAGAATTCTTCCGTCTAGCATTCAATGAAGAAATCCCGTTTCCAACGAAGGCCTCAAACAGGTCCATATATCCACTTGCAGACTTTACAAACAGTGTGTTTCCAAACTCCTCTATGGAAAGAAAGGTTAAACTCTGTGAGTTGAACGCACACATCACAAAGCACTTTCTGAGAATGATTCTGTCTGGTTGTTATACGAAGATATTTCCTTTTCTGCAATTGTCCTCAAATCGCTTGAAATCTCCACCTGAAAATGCCACAGCAAGAGTGTTTCAAATCTGCTCTCTCTAAAGCAAGGTTCAACTCTGTGAGTTGAATACACACAACACAAAAAATTTACTGAGAACTCTTCTTAGTCTAGCATTAAAGGAAGAAACCCCGTTTGCAACGAAGGCCTCAAAGAGGTCCAAATATCCACTTGCAGACATAACAAGCAGAGTGTTTCTAAACTGCTCTAAGAAAAGAAAGGTTAAACTCTGTGAGTTGAAGGCACACATCACAAAGTAGTTTCTGAGAATGATTCTGTCTAGTTTTTATTTGAAGATATTTCCTTTTCTACTGCTGGCATCAAATCGCTTGAAATCTCCACTTGCAAACTCCACAAAAAGAGTGTTTCAAATCTGCTCTGTGTAAAGGGACGTTCCACTCTGTGAGTTGAATACACACAGCACAAAGAAGTTACTGAGAATTCTTCTGTCTAGCATGAAATGAAGAAATCCCGTTTCCAACGAAGGCCTCAATGCGGTCCATATATCCACTTGCAGACTTTACAAACAGAGTGTTTCCAAACTGCTCTATGAAAAGAAAGGTTAAACTATGTGAGTTGAACGCACACATCACAAAGAATTTTCTGAGAATGATTCTGTCTGGTTTTTATTTGAAGATATTTCCCTTTCTACTGTTGGCATCAAATGGCTAGAAATCTCCACTTGCAAATTCCGCAAAAAGAGTGTTTCAAATCTGCTCTGTCTAAAGGGACGTTCCACTCTGTGAGTTGAATGCACCCAACACAAAGAATTTACTGAGAATTCTTCCGTCTAGCATTCAATGAAGAAATCCCGTTTCCAACGAAGGCCTCAAACAGGTCCATATATCCACTTGCAGAGTTTACAAACAGTGTGTTTCCAAACTCCTCTATGAAAAGAAAGGTTAAACTCTGTGAGTGGAACGCACACATCACAAAGCACTTTCTGAGAATGATTCTGTCTGGTTGTTATACGAAGATATTTCCTTTTCTGCAATTGTCCTCAAATCGCTTGAAATCTCCACCTGAAAATGCCACAGCAAGAGTGTTTCAAATCTGCTCTCTCTAAAGCAAGGTTCAACTCTGTGAGTTGAATACACACAACACAAAAAAGTTACTGAGAACTCTTCTTAGTCTAGCATTAAAGGAAGAAACCCCGTTTGCAACGAAGGCCTCAAAGAGGTCCAAATATCCACTTGCAGACATAACAAGCAGAGTGTTTCTAAACTGCTCTAAGAAAAGAAAGGTTAAACTCTGTGAGTTGAAGGCACACATCACAAAGTAGTTTCTGAGAATGATTCTGTCTAGTTTTTATTTGAAGATATTTCCTTTTCTACTGCTGGCATCAAATCGCTTGAAATCTCCACTTGCAAATTCCACAAAAAGAGTGTTTCAAATCTGCTCTGTCTAAAGGGACGTTCCACTCTGTGAGTTGAATACACACAGCACAAAGAAGTTACTGAGAATTCTTCTGTCTAGCATGAAATGAAGAAATCCCGTTTCCAACGAAGGCCTCAAAGCGGTCCATATATCTACTTGCAGACTTTACAAGCAGAGTGTTTCCAAACTGCTCTATGAAAAGAAAGGTTAAACTATGTGAGTTGAACGCACACATCACAAAGAATTTTCTGAGAATGATTCTGTCTAGTTTTTATTTGAAGATATTTCCCTTTCTATTGTTGGCATCAAATGGCTTGAAATCTCCATTTCCAAATTTCGCAAAAAGAGTGTTTCAAATCTGCTCTGTCTAAAGGGACGTTCCACTCGGTGAGTTGAATGCACACAACACAAAGAATTTACTGAGAATTCTTCCGTCTAGCATTCAATGAAGAAATCCCGTTTCCAACGAAGGCCTCAAACAGGTCCATATATCCAATTGCAGACTTTACAAACAGTGTGTTTCCAAACTCCTCTATGAAAAGAAAGGTTAAACTCTGTGAGTTGAACGCACACATCACAAAGCACTTTCTGAGAATGATTCTGTCTGGTTGTTATACGAAGATATTTCCTTTTCTGCAATTGTCCTCAAATCGCTTGAAATCTCCACCTGAAAATACCACAGCAAGAGTGTTTCAAATCTGCTCTCTCTAAAGCAAGGTTCAACTCTGTGAGTTGAATACACACAACACAAAAAAGTTACTGAGAACTCTTCTTAGTCTAGCATGAAAGGAAGAAACCCCGTTTGCAACGAAGGCCTCAAAGAGGTCCAAATATCCACTTGCAGACATAACAAGCAGAGTGTTTCTAAACTGCTCTAAGAAAAGAAAGGTTAAACTCTGTGAGTTGAAGGCACACATCACAAAGCAGTTTCTGAGAATGATTCTGTCTAGTTTTTATTTGAAGATATTTCCTTTTCTACTGTTGGCATCAAATCGCTTGAAATCTCCACTTGCAAACTCCACAAAAAGAGTGTTTCAAATCTGCTCTGTGTAAAGGGACGTTCCACTCTGTGAGTTGAATACACACAGCACAAAGAAGTTACTGAGAATTCTTCTGTCTAGCATGAAATGAAGAAATCCCGTTTCCAACGAAGGCCTCAATGCGGTCCATATAGCCACTTGCAGACTTTACAAACAGAGTGTTTCCAAACTGCTCTATGAAAAGAAAGTGTTAAACTATGTGAGTTGAACGCACACATCACAAAGAATTTTCTGAGAATGATTCTGTCTGGTTTTTATTTGAAGATATTTCCCTTTCTACTGTTGGCATCAAATGGCTAGAAATCTCCACTTGCAAATTCCGCAAAAAGAGTGTTTCAAATCTGCTCTGTCTAAAGGGACGTTCCACTCTGTGAGTTGAATGCACACCACACAAAGAATTTACTGAGAATTCTTCCGTCTAGCATTCAATGAAGAAATCCCGTTTCCAACGAAGGCCTCAAACAGGTCCATATATCCAATTGCAGACTTTACAAACAGTGTGTTTCCAAACTCCTCTATGAAAAGAAAGGTTAAACTCTGTGAGTTGAACGCACACATCACAAAGCACTTTCTGAGAATGATTCTGTCTGGTTGTTATACGAAGATATTTCCTTTTCTGCAATTGTCCTCAAATCGCTTGAAATCTCCACCTGAAAATGCCACAGCAAGAGTGTTTCAAATCTGCTCTCTCTAAAGCAAGGTTCAACTCTGTGAGTTGAATACACACAACACAAATAAGTTACTGAGAACTCTTCTTAGTCTAGCATGAAAGGAAGAAACCCCGTTTGCAACGAAGGCCTCAAAGAGGTCCAAATATCCACTTGCAGACATAACAAGCAGAGTGTTTCTAAACTGCTCTAAGAAAAGAAAGATTAAACTCTGAGTTGAAGGCACACATCACAAAGTAGTTTCTGAGAATGATTCTGTCTAGTTTTTATTTGAAGATATTTCCTTTTCTACTGTTGGCATCAAATCGCTTGAAATCTCCACTTGCAAACTCCACAAAAAGAGTGTTTCAAATCTGCTCTGTGCAAAGGGACGTTCCACTCTGTGAGTTGAATACACACAGCACAAAGAAGTTACTGAGAATTCTTCTGTCTAGCATGAAATGAAGAAATCCCGTTTCCAACGAAGGCCTCAATGCGGTCCATATATCCACTTGCAGACTTTACAAACAGAGTGTTTCCAAACTGCTCTATGAAAAGAAAGGTTAAACTATGTGAGTTGAACGCACACATCACAAAGAATTTTCTGAGAATGATTCTGTCTGGTTTTTATTTGAAGATGTTTCCCTTTCTACTGTTGGCATCAAATGGCTAGAAATCTCCACTTGCAAATTCCGCAAAAAGAGTGTTTCAAATCTGCTCTGTCTAAAGGGACGTTCCACTGCTGTGAGTTGAATGCACACAACACAAAGAATTTACTGAGAATTCTTCCGCCTAGCATTCAATGAAGAAATCCCGTTTCCAACGAAGGCCTCAAACAGGTCCATATATCCAATTGCAGACTTTACAAACAGTGTGTTTCCAAACTCCTCTATGAAAAGAAAGGTTAAACTCTGTGAGTTGAACGCACACATCACAAAGCACTTTCTGAGAATGATTCTGTCTGGTTATTATACGAAGATATTTCCTTTTCTGCAATTGTCCTCAAATCGCTTGAAATCTCCACCTGAAAATTCCACAGCGAGAGTGTTTCAAATCTGCTCTCTCTAAAGCAAGGTTCAACTCTGTGAGTTGAATACACACAACACAAAAAAGTTACTGAGAACTCTTCTTAGTCTAGCATTAAAGGAATAAACCCCGTTTGCAACGAAGGCCTCAAAGAGGTCCAAATATCCACTTGCAGACATAACAAGCAGAGTGTTTCTAAGCTGCTCTAAGAAAAGAAAGGTTAAACTCTGTGAGTTGAAGGCACACATCACAAAGTAGTTTCTGAGAATGATTCTGTCTAGTTTTTATTTGAAGATATTTCCTTTTCTACTGTTGGCATCAAATCGCTTGAAATCTCCACTTGCAAACTCCACAAAAAGAGTGTTTCAAATCTGCTCTGTGCAAAGGGACGTTCCACTCTGTGAGTTGAATACACACAGCACAAAGAAGTTACTGAGAATTCTTCTGTCTAGCATGAAATGAAGAAATCCCGTTTCCAACGAAGGCCTCAATGCGGTCCATATATCCACTTGCAGACTTTACAAACAGAGTGTTTCCAAACTGCTCTATGAAAAGAAAGGTTAAACTATGTGAGTTGAACGCACACATCACAAAGAATTTTCTGAGAATGATTCTGTCTGGTTTTTATTTGAAGATATTTCCCTTTCTACTGTTGGCATCAAATGGCTAGAAATCTCCACTTGCAAATTCCGCAAAAAGAGTGTTTCAAATCTGCTCTGTCTAAAGGGACGTTCCACTCTGTGAGTTGAATGCACACAACACAAAGAATTTACTGAGAATTCTTCCGTCTAGCATTCAATGAAGAAATCCCGTTTCCAACGAAGGCCTCAAACAGGTCCATATATCCACTTGCAGAGTTTACAAACAGTGTGTTTCCAAACTCCTCTATGAAAAGAAAGGTTAAACTCTGTGAGTGGAACGCACACATCACAAAGCACTTTCTGAGAATGATTCTGTCTGGTTATTATACGAAGATATTTCCTTTTCTGCAATTGTCCTCAAATCGCTTGAAATCTCCACCTGAAAATGCCACAGCAAGAGTGTTTCAAATCTGCTCTCTCTAAAGCAAGGTTCAACTCTGTGAGTTGAATACACACAACACAAAAAAGTTACTGAGAACTCTTCTTAGTCTAGCATGAAAGGAAGAAACCCCGTTTGCAACGAAGGCCTCAAAGAGGTCCAAATATCCACTTGTAGACATAACAAGCAGAGTGTTTCTAAACTGCTCTAAGAAAAGAAAGGTTAAACTCTGTGATTTGAAGGCACACATCACAAAGTAGTTTCTGAGAATGATTCTGTCTAGTTTTTATTTGAAGATATTTCCTTTTCTACTGTTGGCATCAAATCGCTTGAAATCTCCACTTGCAAACTCCATAAAAAGAGTGTTTCAAATCTGCTCTGTGTAAAGGGACGTTCCACTCTGTGAGTTGAATACACACAGCACAAAGAAGTTACTGAGAATTCTTCTGTCTAGCATGAAATGAAGAAATCCCGTTTCCAACGAAGGCCTCAATGCGGTCCATATATCCACTTGCAGACTTTACAAACAGAGTGTTTCCAAACTGCTCTATGAAAAGAAAGGTTAAACTATGTGAGTTGAACGCACACATCACAAAGAATTTTCTGAGAATGATTCTGTCTGGTTTTTATTTGAAGATATTTCCCTTTCTACTGTTGGCATCAAATGGCTAGAAATCTCCACTTGCAAATTCCGCAAAAAGAGTGTTTCAAATCTGCTCTGTCTAAAGGGACGTTCCACTCTGTGAGTTGAATGCACACAACACAAAGAATTTACTGAGAATTCTTCCGTCTAGCATTCAATGAAGAAATCCCGTTTCCAACGAAGGCCTCAAACAGGTCCATATATCCAATTGCAGACTTTACAAACAGTGTGTTTCCAAACTCCTCTATGAAAAGAAAGGTTAAACTCTGTGAGTTGAACGCACACATCACATAGCACTTTCTGAGAATGATTCTGTCTGGTTATTATACGAAGATATTTCCTTTTCTGCAATTGTCCTCAAATCGCTTGAAATCTCCACCTGAAAATGCCACAGCAAGAGTGTTTCAAATCTGCTCTCTCTAAAGCAAGGTTCAACTCTGTGAGTTGAATACACACAACACAAAAAAGTTACTGAGAACTCTTCTTAGTCTAGCATGAAAGGAAGAAACCCCGTTTGCAACGAAGGCCTCAAAGAGGTCCAAATATCCACTTGCAGACATAACAAGCAGAGTGTTTCTAAACTGCTCTAAGAAAAGAAAGGTTAAACTCTGTGAGTTGAAGGCACACATCACAAAGTAGTTTCTGAGAATGATTCTGTCTAGTTTTTATTTGAAGATATTTCCTTTTCTACTGTTGGCATCAAATCGCTTGAAATCTCCAATTGCAAACTCCACAAAAAGAGTTTTTCAAATCTGCTCTGTGCAAAGGGACGTTCCACTCTGTGAGTTGAATACACACAGCACAAAGAAGTTACTGAGAATTCTTCTGTCTAGCATGAAATGAAGAAATCCCGTTTCCAACGAAGGCCTCAATGCGGTCCATATATCCACTTGCAGACTTTACAAACAGAGTGTTTCCAAACTGCTCTATGAAAAGAAAGGTTAAACTATGTGAGTTGAACGCACACATCACAAAGAATTTTCTGAGAATGATTCTGTCTGGTTTTTATTTGAAGATATTTCCCTTTCTACTGTTGACATCAAATGGCTAGAAATCTCCACTTGCAAATTCCGCAAAAAGAGTGTTTCAAATCTGCTCTGTCTAAAGGGACGTTCCACTCTGTGAGTTGAATGCACACAACACAAAGAATTTACTGAGAATTCTTCCGTCTAGCATTCAATGAAGAAATCCCGTTTCCAACGGAGGCCTCAAACAGGTCCATATATCCAATTGCAGACTTTACAAACAGTGTGTTTCCAAACTCCTCTATGAAAAGAAAGGTTAAACTCTGTGAGTTGAACGCACACATCACAAAGCACTTTCTGAGAATGATTCTGTCTGGTTGTTATACGAAGATATTTCCTTTTCTGCAATTGTCCTCAAATCGCTTGAAATCTCCACCTGAAAATGCCACAGCAAGAGTGTTTCAAATCTGCTCTCTCTAAAGCAAGGTTCAACTCTGTGAGTTGAATACACACAACACAAAAAAGTTACTGAGAACTCTTCTTAGTCTAGCATGAAAGGAAGAAACCCCGTTTGCAACGAAGGCCTCAAAGAGGTCCAAATATCCACTTGCAGACATAACAAGCAGAGTGTTTCTAAACTGCTCTAAGAAAAGAAAGGTTAAACTCTGTGAGTTGAAGGCACACATCACAAAGTAGTTTCTGAGAATGATTCTGTCTAGTTTTTATTTGAAGATATTTCCTTTTCTACTGTTGGCATCAA